>NC_000006.12:102798062-102949577 GCF_000001405.40 Homo sapiens
GAATCATAGCTTCAACCATGACCATCTTTCTTGCCCACTCCTCACATTTTGCTATGGTCTACAATCACATAAGTTTTTGATATCCAATATTATTCAGAAAAAACAAAGTCATATTCCCTATGTAAAATTAATGAATTTTCACATACAAGATCGACTGATTCTGCAGAATTCAACATATAATATCACAAAAATGATGGTGGCATCACACGTTATCATTTCTTGCTTTATGGTATTTTTGCCCACATGGAATTAGCTTAAATAGAATATATAGTAAACACAAGAGTCTGGAAATAAAACCATCATAGTATGGTAAAATAAGAGCATCCTGCAGTCCCAAACGTTTCTAAGGTGATAAATGTGCAATGAAATACATGAACATAATGTTAGTTGCTGCCTGTGTTTCAATCATTTGAATCATTGAAACTATGTTTAAATCATTGTGATAAGAAAAATACAAATCAAACAAGTGCTTATTATCCTTAGGACTTTTAAAATGTAATATAAAACAATTATCTCATTTTCTTTTTGCTTAGTGTTGTTACCTATCTCAGACTGAATTTGTTTCTTTCTTCTGAATGATCCAGTTTGTTCAGACTATACCATGTAATTGACACCGGAGGGGGCAGGGAAGTGCTCCGTAGAGAAGAGAAGGGCTGGGTCCCTGGAGAGGGCTCCACCCTCGGGCCTGTGCCCAGGGACTTAAGTGAGAACAGGCACTCCCGTTTTCACTCCCGAATGTTGCATTTTCCAAGGCCACTCTAGCCTGACACGTCCCCCATCGTGTGCCCACATAAACCTGAGACCTTAGTGGACACAAAACACAAAAGCGGCAGAGAGCGGCGGCAAGCAGCAGAGAGGAGCAGGGCGCCACGCAGAGGAGAAAAGGGGCATCAGAACGTCAAGAGGAGTTTGGCCCAGAACAGCCAAACTCCAGGGTAGGATTATCTCCCCCAACCCACCTTCCCACTCCAGCTCCCCATCTGGCTGAAAGCCATCTTCGCTGCTCAGTAAAGTCTCCGCATTCATCACCTTTCAAACAGTTCATATGACCTTATTAGTCCAGGACCGCGACAAGAATCTGGGGGTTAACAGTCAGCCATCCCCAGAAGGCAAGGCTAAAGGAGTACATTGTGTAACATACGCCTACTTGGGCTTCGGGAGTCGTAGCCACCCACCCCTAGACACTGCAGTGGGGCCGGAGCCCAAAAGCGCTCTCCCTGGCTCCTACACCTGCCAGTCTGCATGCTGCCCTTGTCCCATAACGGATTTGAGATCTCAGTGGCCGAACAGAGAGCCACAGCCATGTTACACGTCCTGCGAGGGAGGTGGGCAGGGGACTCTCCTGTTTCATAATGTGCATGTGTATCCTGTGTATTTCCATGCATTTATGCTACAATTAAGCAGCATTGCCTTAAGTTTTGTAACCTACCCCACCCAAACTTATTATAATCTAACATTCAAGATACCTGGGATCTCCAGTTTATAATGAGCTCAATGTTTCCCATTTCTAGAAAATCTTACTACCAATCATTTTCTCTTTTTTATCACATTCTTATTCTAACAAGTATGTACATTTTAAGGTAAATACAGTCCTCCCTCACCCTGAGGGATCGATTGCAGGACATCTCACGAATGCCAAAATTCGTGGAGGCCCGAGTCCTTGATATAAAATAG
Source organism: Homo sapiens (assembly GCF_000001405.40). Taxonomy (NCBI): domain Eukaryota; kingdom Metazoa; phylum Chordata; class Mammalia; order Primates; family Hominidae; genus Homo; species Homo sapiens. Next base: position 102,799,737 of record NC_000006.12, read on the forward strand.
TATAGTATTTATATAGACCCTATACACATATTCCCCTATACTTTATCTCTAGATTACTAATAACACTTAATATGCTGTAAATACTATGTAAAGAGTTGTTATACTGTATTAAGAAATAATGACAAGAAAAAAGTATATATATATGTTTAGTACAAATGCAATTTTTTTGGAATATTTTAGATCTGTGGTTGGTTGAATATATGTAGGTGGAACCCACAAATACAGAGGGTTGACTATGTTTATTTTTATTTCTCAAAGTATGCATAGGTTACTCTATGTTAGAATAACCTGTACCTCTCACTATATCTCTCTGTTATATTGTATATTTACTTTAACACTTTATGCAGAATGGTGTATTCTGAAATGCATCCTTGAAGAGAAGAGCTCTGTCTATCTAGATTACTATATATACAAGAGAGTCCATTACATTATGGTGATGATTAATAACAAACACTTAAAAGTAAGGAAACCACAACCCTTTCTAAGGGCTCGGGACTTCATAAACACTGAGTAACATTAATATGCTATTGGTTTATAAACACCAGAATATGTCAAATATAGTAATAAATCCAAAGCTCAATGAACAATAAATTAGGATTGATAATATTACATCAAGGAATATATCAAAGGAATATAAAGGAATCATTTTTTATTAGAATTCCAATAAAATTTGAAGCCCTTAAGATTTCTGCATAGTGCTTTGTAGAGATAAGTGCTTAATTTTTTTTTTCTGTTGATTGAGCAGTTGCATTCCTCATAAATGCCTTCTGATCTTTTGATAACTGTCCTCATATAAAGGATGATTTCACTAATCACACATTTCATCATTTGAATTGCTCCTTATTTTCATTTTATGACTGAATTTTCGTGACCATGTATTTATATTTAATTACTTCTTATAAGCCCTATTCCATACTTGATAAGGCATTTTGCACAGTTAGTAAATAAATTCATTAACGTATAAATATCAACATGTAAAACATTTATTTAATATAAAACAAATGTGTAGACTCACTGAAAGAAGGTCTACACATTTAAAGTGTTTTCTTCCCAGTATTAACCAGGCTTATTTTCAGATTTTATCTCCTCGGTGATGCCCAAAGCAACCTGCCAACATGCAACTGTTTTTATTACCTGAGTAGTAGATATAGCAACTACTAGAAGTTGAAAAGAAAGCCCAGAAAATTTGAGAATAAAATGTTTTTTTTATTCAGTCCTAGCATAAGCACAAATAGTGCTATGTGAAACTTCTTACTTTGAAACTTAAGCAAGTCTGTTTCCAATGATAGCTCTGAATTATACTTTATCTTTCCATTCAGTAGGTTGTAACTAAGATATGTCTGGAAGACTAAACTGGTTTTTCTAATTTGTTCTGTTTCTAGCTCCTGAATTGGATAACAAGAGGTGATAGCTTTCTTCTGCCTTTTGTCTTGTATAACTGAGTTAGTTTTTTATTGTTGCCATAAAAAGTTATCAAAAAAATTAGCAGCTTAAAATAACACTCATTGATTATCTCACAGTTCTGTAGATCAGAAGTCCAGCATGTGTCTCACAGGCCTCAAAATCAAGATGTTGGCCACATCGTCTGTTTTACTGAAGGCTCTGGGGATGAACCCAATCCCGAACTCATTGAGATTACTGGCAAAATCGAGCTTCTTGTAGTTAGAAGGCTAAGGTCTCTGTTCCTTGAGAGCTGTCAGCTAAGGATCAATCCTGGCTCCTTGAGGCCTCTCTCTGTGCTCTGCAAATGAACTCCTGCATCTAAGGGTCGATAATGGCACACTGAGTTCTCACGCTTGAAATCGTTCCAACTTTGCCTTCCGCAGCGTTCCTCTTCTGCCACATCCCTCTCTCTCTTTTTTTTTTTTTCGCTCTGTCGCCCAGGCTGGAATGCAGTGGCACGATCTTGGCTCACTGCAGCCTCCGCCTCCCGGGTTCAAGCGATTCTCCTGCCTCAGTCTCCTGAGTAGCTGGGACTACATACAGGTGCATGCCACCATGCCCGACTATTTTTTGTGTTTTTAGTAGAGACGGGGTTTCACCATGTTGGCCAGGATGGTCTCGATCTCCTGACCTCATGATCCACCTGCCTCGCCTCCCAAAGTGCTGGGATTACAAGCCTGAGCCACCACGCCTGGCCATATCTCTCTGTTTTTAAAGGGCATTGTGACTAGATTGATCCCAGCTGGATTATATAGTATTACCTTCCTAAACAAAGTCTATATCCTTAATGACTGCTGCAAAGTCCCTTTGTCATGTAATATTACATATTTACAAGTACCAGAGATTAAGACATGAACATCTTTTGGTGAATTCGAACTACCACAATAACATATTTTATTCACGTACTTTAAAATTTGTATCCATAGTGTGGAGAAATAAAATGTTAAACTATTGGTAGTATAAAAATTACATAATTATACTTATATCTTTACTAAGTTTAGCTAGGACCAGGCATGCACTACCATGCCCACTAATTTAAAAAAAAATTGTTTATAGAGGTGAAAGTCTCACTATGTTGCTAGTCTTGAACTCCTAGCCTCAAGGGATCCTCCTGCCTTGGCCTTCCAAAGCACCGGGATTACGGGCCTGAGCCACCATACTCAGGCTATAGTCATAATTTAATTAGTACAATCAGAACTTAAAATGCTACCATAATTTTATGTTGTTCGTATGAATGTGCCAATCTTTATTGCTTTATAAATAATTATCACAGTTTGTATATTTATCTTGTAAACAAACCTTATTAGAATTTATACTTTCTCTCCTTCCTGTGAGAATCTCATTTCTATTAGTTTCAAGGTTATCACTACCTGTGGGTTTACATTTCATGATCCTTACATACCAAATTCAGGCCACTCAGAGCCAATTCACATTTCTTCCAGGTCAGTACAATCATTTTATAATAAAATTTAATGTTTCTTACAATGGATAAATTATCACAATCTTTTCTCTAAAGTGATTTATGACTTCAAAAATGTTTTTGTCTAATCCTTTGCTAGGTAAAAACAATTTGTATTTTAATCACATTTCTTCATAGCTATTATATTTTTGATTAAATAACATTTTTCATGAAAATCCCTGTATTAACATTATATGCCAGAAATCATTTTTATATTTATTAACCATGCTCCAATTTGTTAAATATATGTTATATATATGAGACAAAATTTTGAGTTAAACAAATACTTGAAATCAAGAGAATATCCAGCATAATTGTCATTTTGAAAGTTCCGACTACATGCATTTCACTCAGATCTCATCTTACCACTGAAAATGATAGAAAATTATGGACACATTATATATTACATGTTATAAAATATATTGTTCTGTAAAACATATAATTTTGTATAATTTCAATGTACTCTCTTGATGCTTGCACTATTAAACAGTACCTGTGTTTCTCCCAGATTATTATACAGTGTTCTCTCAGTATCCATGGGGGATTTGCTCCAGGTGCTCCTGTGGGTACTTGAGCTATGTATGCTCAAGTTTCTTATATGAAATGGTATAGTATTTGCATATAACCTATGCACATTGTCCCGTATAGTTTAAATCATCTCAGTATTACTTATAATACCTAATATAATGTAAATATGTAAACAGTTGTTATACAATTTTGTTTAGAAAATAATGGCAAAAAAAAAGATTTGACATCTTCATTATAGATGCTTATTAATATTATTATTATACTTTAAGTTCTAGGGTACATGTGCACAATGTGCAGGTTTGTTACATATGTATACATGTGCCATGTTGGTTTGCTGCATCAATTAACTCCTCATTTGCATTAGGTATTTCTCCTAATGCTATCCCTCCCCCTGCCCTCCGCCCCGTGAGAGGCCCCCGTGTGTGATGTACCCTGCTCTGTGTCCAAGTGTTCTCATTGTTCAGTTCCCATCTATGAGTGAGAACATGTGGTGTTTGGTTTTCTCTCCTTGTGATAGTTTGCTCAGAATGATGGTTTCCAGTTTCATCCATGTCCCTGCAAAGGACATGAACTCATCCTTTTTAATGGCTGCACAGTATTCCACGGTGTATATGTGCCACATTTTCTTAATCCAGTCTATTATTCATGGCCATTTGGGTTGTTTCCAAGTTTTTGCTATTGTGAGTAGTGCCACAATAAACACACGTGTGCATGAGTCTTTATAGTCGAATGATTTTTAATACTTTGGGTATATACCCAGTAATGGGATCGCTGGGTCAAATGGTATTTCTAGTTCTAGATCCTTGAGGAATCGCCACACTATCTTCCACAATGGTTGAACTAGTTTACAGTCCCACCAACAGTGTAAAAGCGTTCCTATTTTTCCACATCCTCTCCAGCATCTGTGGTGTCGACTTTTTAATGATCGGTATTCTAACTGGTGTGAGATGGTATCTCATTGTGGTTTTGATTTGCATTTCTCTGATGACCAGTGATGATGAGCATTTTTTCATGTGTCTGTTGGCTGCATTAATGTCTTCTTTTGAGAAGTGTCTGTTCTTATCCTTTGCCCACTTTTGGTGAGGTTGTTTGTTTTTTTCTTGTAAATTTGTTTAAGTTCTTTGTAGATTCTGGATATTAGCCCTTTGTCAGATGGGTAGATTGCAAAAATTTTCTCCCATTCTATAGGATGCCTGTTCACTCTGATGGTAGTTTCTTTTGCTGTGCAGAAACTCTTTAGCTTAATTATATCCCAATTGTCTATTTTGGCTTTTGTTGCCATTGCTTTTGGTGTTTTAGTTATGAAGTCCTTGCCCCATGCCTATGTCCTGAGTGGTGTTGCCTAGGTTTTCTTCTAGGGTTTTTATGGTTTAGGTCTAACATTTAAGTCTTTAATGCATCTTGAGTTAATTTTTGTATAAGGTGTAAGGAAGGGATCCAGTTTCAGCTTCCTACATATGGCTAGCCAGTTTTCCCAGCACCATTTATTAAATAGGGAATCCTTTCCCCATTGCTTGTTTTTGTCAGGTTTGTCAAAGATCAGATGGTTGTACATGTGTGGTGTTATTTCTGAGGCCTCCGTTCTGTTCCATTGATCTAGCTTCCTGTTTTGGTACCAGTACCATGCTGTTTTTGTTACTGTAGTCTTGTAGTATGGTTTGAATTCAGGTAACGTGATGCCTCCAGCTTTGTTCTTTTTGCCTAGGATTGTCTTGGGAATACAGGCTCTTTTTAGGTTCCATATGAACTTTAAAGTAGTTTTTTCTAATTCTGTGAAGAAAGTTATTGGTAGCTTGATGGGGATGGCATTGAATCTATAAATTACCTTGGGCAGTATGGCCATTTTCACGATATTGATTCTTCCTATCCAAGAGCATGGAATGTTCTTCCATTTGTTTGCGTCCTCTTTTATTTCATTGAGTAGTGGTTTGTAGTTCTCCTTGAAGAGGTCCTTCATATCCCTTGTAAGTTGGATTCCTAGGTATTTTATTCTCTTTGTAGCAATTGAGAATGGGAGCTCACTCATGATTTGGCTCTCTGTTTGTCTGTTATTGGTATGTAGGAATGCCTGGGATTTTTGCAATTGATTTTGTATCCTGAAACTTTGCTGAAGTTGCTTATCAGCTTAAGAAGATTTTGGGCTGAGGTGATGGGGTTTTCTAAATATACAGTCATGTCATCTGCAAACAGGGACAATCTGACTTCCTCTTTTCCTAACTGAATACCCTTTATTTCTTTCTCTTGCCTCATTGCCCTGGCCAGAACTTCCAACACTATGTTGAATAGGAGAAGCGACAGAGAGCATCCCTGTCTTATGCCCGTTTTCAAAGGGAATGCTTCCAGTTTTTGCCCATTCAGTATAATATTGGCTGTGGGTTTGTCATAAATAGTACTTATTATTTTGAGATACGTTCCATCAATACCGAGCTTATTGAGAGTTTTTATCATGAAGGGCTGTTGTATTTTGTCAAAGGCCTTTTCTGCATCTATTGAGATAATCATGTGGTTTTTGTCATCGGTTCTGTTTATGTGATGGATTACGTTTATTGGTTTGCATATGTTGAACCAGCCTTTCAACCCAGGGATGAAGCTGACTTGATCGTGGTGGATAAGCTTTTTGATGTGCTGCTGGATTCGGTTTGCCAGTATTTTATTGAGGATTTTTGCATTGATGTCCATCAGGGATATTAGTCTAAAATTCTCGTTTTTGTGTGTGTCTCTGCCAGGCTTTGGTATCAGGATGATACTGGCCTCATAAAAAGAGTTACGGAGGATTCCCTCTTTTTCTATTGATTGGAATAGTTTCAGAAGGAATGGTACCAGCTCTTCCTTGTACCTCTGGTAGAATTTGGCTGTGAATCCGTCTGGTCCTGGTCTTTTTTTCGTTGGTAGGCTATTAATTATTGCCTCAATTTCAGAGCCTGTTATTGGTCTATTCAGAGATTCAACTTCTTCCTGGTTTAGTCTTGGGAGGGTGTATGTGTCCAGGAATTTATCCATTTCTTCTAGATTTTCTAGTTTATTTGTGTAGAGGTTTCCATAGTGTTCTCTGCTGGTAGTTTGTATTACTGTGGGATTGGTGGTGATATCCTCTTTATCATTTTTTATTGTGTCTATATGATTCTTCTTTCTTTTCTTCTTTATTAGTCTTGCTAGCAGTCTATCAATTTTGTTGATCTTTTCAAAAACCAGCTCCTGGATTCATTGATTTTTTGAAGGTTTTTTGTGTCTCTATGTCCTTCAGTTCTGCTCTGATCTTAGTTATTTCTTGCCTTTTGCTAGCGTTTGAATGTGTTTGCTCTTGCTTCTCTAGTTCTTTTAATTATGAGGTTAAGGTGGCGATTTTAGATCTCTCCTGCTTTCTCTTGTGGGCATTTAGTGCTATAAATTTCCCTCTACACACTGCTTTAAATGTGTCCCAGAGATTCTGGTATGTTGTGTCTTTGTTCTCATTGGTTTCAAAGAACATCTTTATTTCTGCCTTCATTTCGTTATGTACCCAGTAGTCACTCTGGAGCAGGTTGTTCAGTTTCCATGTAGTTGTGCAGTTTTGAGTGAGTTTCTTAATCCTGAGTTCTAATTTGATTGCACTGTGGTCTGAAAGACAGTTTGTTGTGATTTCTGTTCTTTTACATTTGCTGAGGAGTGCTTTACTTCCAACTATGTGGTCAGTTTTGGAATAAGTGTGATGTGGTGTGGAGAAGAATGTATATTCTGTTGATTTCGGGTGGAGAGTTCTGTAGATGTTTATTAGGTCCACTTGGTGTAGAGCTGAGTTCAAGTCCTGGGTATTCTTGTTAATCTTCTGTCTCGTTGATGTCTAATATTGACAGTGGAGTGAAAAGTCTCCCATTATTACTGTGTGGGAGTCTAAGTCTCTTTGTAGGTCTCTAAGGACTTGCTTTATGAATCTGGGTGCTCCTGTATTGGATGCATACATATTTAGGATAGTTAGTTCTTCTTGTTGAATTGATCCCTTTACCATTATGTAATGGCCTTCTTTGTCTCGTTTGATCTTTGTTGGTTTAAAGTCTGTTTTATCAGAGACTAGGATTGCAATCCCTGCATGTTTTTTTTTTTTTCCTTTCCATTAGCTTGGTAGATCTTCCTCTGTCCCTTAATTTTGAGCCTATGTTTGTCTCTGCACATGAGATGGGTCTCCTGAATACAGCACACTGATGGGTCTTAACTCTTTATCCAATTTGCCAGTCTATGTCTTTTAATTGGGGCATTTAGCCCATTTACATTTAAGGTTAATATTGTTATATGTGAATTTGATCCTGTCATTATGATGTTAGCTGGTTATTTTGCCCGTTAGTTGATGCAGTTTCTTCCTAGCATCGATGGTCTTTACAATTTGGAATGCTTTTGCAGTGGTTGGTAGCAGTTGTTCCTTTCCATGTTTAGTGCTTCCTTCAGGAGCTCTTGCAAGGAAGGTCTGGTAGTGACAAAATCTCTCAGCATTTGCTTGTCTATAAAGGATTTTATTTCTCCTTCACTTATGAAGCTTAGTATGGCTGGATATGAAATTCCGGGTTGAAAATTCTTTTCATTAAGAATGTTGAATATTGGCCCCCACTCCCTTCTGGCTTATAGAGTTTCTGCTAAGAGATCGGCTGTTAGCCTGATGGGCTTCCCTTTGTGGGTAACCCGACCTTTCTCTCTGGCTGCCCTTAACATTTTTTCCTCATTTCAACCTTGGTAAATCTGACAACTATGTGTCTTGGGGTTGCTCTTCTTGAGGATTATCTTTGTGATGTTCTCTGTATTTCTGGAATTTGAATGTCTGCCTGCCTTGCTAGGTTGGGGAAGTTCTCCTGGATAATATCCTGAAGAGTGTTTTCTAACTTGTTTCCATTCTCCCCATCACTTTCAGGTACACCAATCAATCATAGATTTGTTCTTTTCTCATAGTCCCATATTTCTTGGAGGGTTTGTTCATTTCTTTTTGCTCTTTTTTCTCTAAACCTCTCCTCTTACTTTATTTCATTAATTTGATGTTAAATCACTGATACCCTTTCTTCCACTTGATTGAATCAGCTATTAAAGCTTGTGCATGCATCATGTAGTTCTCATGCCATGGTTTTCAGCTCCATCAGGTCATTTAAGGTCCTTTCTACACTGTTTATTCTAGTTAGCCATACGGCTAATCTTTTTTCAAGGTTTTTAGCTTCCTTGAGATGGGTTCAAACATCCTCCTTTAGCTCAGAAAAGTTTGTTATTACTGACCTTCTGAAGCCTACTTCTGTCAGCTCGTCAAAGTCATTCTTCGTCCAGCTTTGTTCTATTGCTGGCAAGGAGCTGCAATCCTTTGGAGGAGAAGAGGTGCTCTGATTTTTAGAATTTTCAGCTTTTCTGGTCTGGTTTCTCCCCATCTTTGTAGTTTTATCTACCTTTGGTCTTTGATGCTGGTGACCTACAGATGGGGTTTTGGTGTGGATGTCCCTTTTGTTGATGATGATGCTATTCATTTCTGTTTGTTAGTCTTCATTCTAAGAGTCAGCTCCCTCAGCTACAGCTCTGTTGGGGTTTGCTGGAGGTCCACTCCAGACCCTGTTTGCCTGGGTATCACCAGCGGAGACTGCAGAACAGCAAATATTACAGAACAGCAAATATTGCTGACTGATCCTTCCTCTGGAAGCTTCATCCCAGAAGGGCACCCACTTGTATGAGGTGTCAGTCGGCCCCTACTGGTAGGTGTCTCCCAGTTAGGCTACACGGGGGTCAGGGACCCACTTGAGGAGGCAGTCTGTTCATTCTCAGAGTTCATTCAAACATGGTGCTGGGAGAACCACTGCCCTCTTCAGAGCTGTCAGACAGGGATGTTTAAGTCTGCAGAAGTTTCTGCTGCCTTTTGTTCAGCTATGCCCTGCCCCCAGAGGTGGGGTCTACAGAGGCAGCAGGCCTTGCAGAGCTACCATGGGCTCCACCCAGTTCGAGGTTCCCTGGCTGCTTTGTTTACCTACCCAAGCCTCAGCAATGGCGGACGCCGCTCCCCCTGCCAGGCTGCTGCCTTGCAGGTAGATCTCAGATTGCTGCGCTAGCAGTGAGCAAGGCTCTCTGGGCGTGGGACCCACTGAGCCAGGTGCGGAATATAATCCCCTGGTGTGTCATTTGCTAAGACAGGAGATTGGAAAAGCACAGTATTTGGGCAGGAGTGTCCCAATTTTTCAGGTACCATCTGTCACGACTTCCGTTGGCTAAGAAAGGGAAATCCCCAAACCCTTGCACTTCCCGGGTGAGGTGATGCCCCGCTCTGCTTCAGCTCACCCTCCATGGGCTGCATCCACTGTCCAACTAGTCCCAGTGAGATGAACCAGGTACCTCAGTTGGAAATGCAGAAATCACCTGTCTTCTGCATGGATCACACAGGGAGCTGCAGATTGGAGCTGTTCCTATTCAGCCATCTTGGAACAGAATCACTTTTTTTTTTGGTTTTTTAACATTTTCAATTTCTGGTTAGTTAAGTCCATGGATGTGGAACTCATAGATACAAAATCTTAGCTATAATTTCTCTAAATATTTGAAAATATTGCTAAATATTTAAAAATACAATTTAATATTCTAAAAAATTAAGTTCTTAGAATACACACAATTACTAACATTCTCAGTAAAAATAAATGTTTATGCTATCAACCCAAAATTTCAAATAGAATATGACAATTATCCCAAATATAGGTATATATATAAAGATATATACATTTTTAATCACATAGCTTAAAATAAATAATATATATTATTTTACACACAATATAATATATATTATTTATCTTAATATATATTATATATATTTGGGATAATTATCTTGGGGTAATATATTCTCTTTGAGATAATATATATATTTTAATCACATAGCATATTAGGGGAGGAATCACGTTTTAAAACATTCAGACATTATAGACATAGCAAAAAAGAACAATAAAAATTTATTTTTATCCTAATTTTAAAATAATTGTATTATAACTAAGAAATTGTATAACCTTTTAGCATAATTATATTTTCATAATCATGTTGAATAATTATAATGAATTTTAGAATACAAATATAAGATTTGTATATATTGGTTAATTCAATGAAATAGAAATATTTATTTCTGAATGATTTTCTAATATATGTTCATTTATCTTCTTATTTATTTAAATTAAGAGTGCAGAAAAATATTACTTGATAGAGATCATTCTTTTAATTGTTAGAAATATTCTATGTATAGCAAACTTTATTTAAAAAAATAAAAACTGCATTCCTCACCACAAAAAGTTTTTTTCCCTCTCAAATATATGCAACTGGACAATAACACTCATAACTTTCTATACATTTAATATTTTATATCATCCCTAATACACATTTACCTCTCCCTCAAACTACCAAAAAGAAGGTAAATAAATTTTAAAATACTGTGAAATTTTTAACTATCCAAGTATTATAATTAACAGATATTTTATTTGTTGACTATTTCTCCACAACATCCAACAGACAAATACAATGATGTCTGCTCTCACCGCTTATATTAAACAATTTAACCATTGCTCTAAAGTACAAAAGAGAAATTCAGTTCAAGTTAAAAGGAAGAAACAAAACTTTTATTCATATATGCTATTATCGCATACTTACAAAATCTTAAGGGGGAAAAAGTTACAACTAATAAGATTAAGTTAGATCCCAGACACTGATATGAATATGCATACACATACACACTCAAAAGTACCTGTTGTTAAAGCAAATATATAAAAATTTGAATTTTTTTGTTTTTGCTTTTGTTTTCAATTCGTTGGGGAGAGAACAGTTTGCTTAGTATAAAAATAATTTGTGAGGCAAAGAGTACAGATGAGGATGGCAAACACGGGATATATGCTCTCCTCAGTCTGGCCCTACGGAATGGGCATGCTCCCCTATCATAAATGGGGTGAGTAAGGGCAGAAATGTGCTGCTATAAGTAAAACATAGGCAGAAAATAAGTTTTTTATGCTATCTTGCTCACGGTCTTTATCTATATTGTATCCCAAATAGACTTTAATAGTTATTCGGCCGGGCGCGGTGGCTCACGCCTGTAATCCCAGCACTTTGGGAGGCCGAGGCGGGCGGATCACGAGGTCAGGAGATCGAGACCATCCTGGCTAACACGGTGAAACCCCGTCTCTACTAAAAATATAAAAAATTAGCCAGGCGTGGTGGTGGGCGCCTGTAGTCCCAGCTACTCAGGAGGCTGAGGCAGGAGAATGGCGTGAACCCGGGAGGCGGAGCTTGCAGTGAGCCGAGATCGTGCCACTGCACTCCAGCCTGGGCGACAGAGTGAGACTCCGTCTCAAAAAAAAAAAAAAAAAAGTTATTCTTCGAACCATCTCATAGTCAAAAACTGCTGAGTTAACTAGAATTTAGAAGGAATTTTATGTATTATTTATGTTTTTCCTAATTTAAATCTTTACTAGCACTGTTATTTGGAAGTATAACTCTCTTTCTCTTCCTATGTGTGTGTGTGTGTGTGTGTGTCTGTATGTGTAGCAGTAGGCTTCTCCAAAGAGAAAGTGGTACCTGCCAGATCTCTTTAGTGTCTAGGCTCATACCTATCACAGCATCATTTCCACCACATTTCACATTTTATGTCCTGCAGGATTTTACTGAGAATAATAAAGTATAGAAGAGTGAGTAAAAGCAATGATGCTTGAAAATTGCTAAAAGAGTATATCTTAAATATTGTCACCATGAAAATAAGTATATGTAAATCAGCTTCATTTAATCATTTCATGATGTATAAATAAACCAAAATATCAAGAAAAAGAAAAGAGTAATGGTACTAGTATCAGACAAATATAGGTTTTGTCTTGGCTTTTTTACTCAAAGCTGAGTGATCCTGGATAATGCATTTAAAATCTCTAAGACTCATTTTTCTTTCTTATAAAATGGGAATTAAAATAGGTCATGTTAGAAGGAATTTGCATTGTTTTATTAATAGTGATTCAAAGGTTAGAAAATATATCGTTATGTAATATATTTTATTTTAAAAGTCCTAAAATTAACCAACATCATCAAGAAAAGTTTTAGGGAGTTCACATTTTTTTTTCCATCAATTTGGTCTAAACTGAAGAATGTGATTTTCCACATGTTAAGATGAGAACCATGTAATTAGTTATTTAAAATAAGGAAGTGGTTGGGGATACCTCAACTTTTATTACAGTAACCCATAAGATTTCAATTAGTCAGTGGTCAGCATTGTTATTTTATCTTGTAGGACTGAATCAAACAACATATGAAATGTCATTTATTTCGCAATTTGGACGTTTTTACTATAGTTTAAATCTGAGTCAGGGAATCAGCCTAAGAGCACACATTGTATTGTGTTTCATTCAGGTATGTGAGTAAACACGTGTGTGTCATTCATATGTAAATATAAAAGTTGGAGACATTTAATATTTTGTCCCTGACATTCTACACATTTACCCTTAAATATTAGAGTACTTTCCCAAGAATATATAACCACACTACAATTATCAAAATCATTAATTAGTACAGTGTCACAGTTCTTTTTATGTGAATCAATTGTACATATTCAAATTTCATCTATTGCTTTGTTATTGTCCTTATTAGCTATTTTTGTTTTTTCAATATAAGGTTCAATTCAATCCATGCATTACATTTATTTACCACATTACATTAGTCTTTTTTAATCTGTAAGAATTCCTTAGCCTTTCCTTGGCTTTCATGACCTTGACATTTTAAAAAAATTGCAGGAGACTTATTTTATGGAGTGCTCCTCCATTTAGTTCTGACTCCTGCTTGCTAATGATTATATTTAAATGATGCACTTTTGATAGGAACATCACAGAAGTGATGCTGTGTCTCCCTCAGTGCCTCATATTAGGAAGCACATGTGTCAGTTTGTCCCATTATTGCTGATGGTAACTTTGATTATTTGCCTAAGGAGATAGCTGCTAGGTAAATCCACTATAAAATTATTGGTCCTTCTTTAAATATATATATATATATATATATATATATATATATATATATATATACACACACACATATATATATATACACACACACATATATATACACACATATATATATATACACACATATATATATATACACATATATATATATACACACATATATATATATATATGTAGTTTGGAGTGAGTTACTTTGACAATATTCAAACATCCTGATCCTCATTAAACTTTTGCCTGCTAGTTTAGCTCATGCACTCGATTTTTGTCTTACTCGATTTTTATAATAGTTTCTAAGTGTTGTTGTTTCTAATGCTATCATTTTTTCTATCTATCAGTACTTGTAAAAGTTACTTTCAGCTGAACTAGAATAGCTCAATTCATATCTCCAGGGATGCCTGGAAGTTTGAAACTGACTCTTGGCCAAGAGAAGAGTGAAAGGACTAACAAATGATGTATAATATAGTGTTTAAAGTTTGAAACTTTCCTGGTGTCACCAGGCCAGTTTGCATATTCATGGATTATACCTGGTGTAACTGGTTATACAGGTTGGCTTGGCCATGTGACTAGAAGAGTATACAAGTTCCCACTGGGAATTTTTCAGAAGCTCTTTCAAAACCTAGATGCTTTGTACAAGTCATAGTGCTTTCTATTTCAAAGATGAAGCGCATCTTGTGGAATGTTCCCAACACAAGGAAATGATAAATGTTTGTAGGTGATGGATATCACAATTACATGGATTTTATCATTATACAGTGTATGCTTGTATCAAAATATCATATGTCCCATAAATGCACACAATTATATATCTATAAAAATTAAACGTAGATTTAACAAAAGAATAATTTTGCATCCAGACACAGTGGCTCATGCCTTTAATCCCAGCACTTTGGGAGGCTGAGACGGGGTATCACTTGAGGTCAGGAGTTCCAGGCCCGCTTGGCCAACACGGTGAAATCCTGTCTCTACTAAAAATAGAAAAATTAGCCGGGCATGCTGGCGGATGCCTGTAATTCCATCTACTCGGGAGGCTGAGGCAGGAGAATCACTCGAACCTGGGAGGCAGAGGTTGTAGTGAACAGAGATGGTGTCACTGCACTCCAGCCTGAGCGACAGAGTGAGACTCCGTCTCAAAGAAAAAAAGAATAATTCTGGGGAACTGTGCCTAGGAGTCTCTCAGGCTAATAATTCTTGTCTGTATACTCTTTCTTTTGCTGTGCTATATATTTTGCCTTTGTTGAATGTTTTTCACAAGTATGCTCTCTGAAGTCTTTTGTATCCTTTTTACTATCTGGTCCTGTGAAATACTATTATATCGTAAGACGGGGCATTCCCTTTTCTCTCATTGATTCATTTATACATTCATTTTTGTCAATATGCACTCATAGTTTCTTGCTTAATTCCACAAAAATCCTGTTACTATCATTTCTTTGGATGTTAAAATTTCTAAGTTTTGACTATTGGGAGATCTTTCAAGTTGGTTGTATTGTGTCGTTGACAGGTATAGAGAAAACAATTATATATCTTCCTTTACCCATTTTGGATTCATGGCTGAAGCCCCTATACCAAAAAACATATTGAAAAGATAAAAGCATACAAGTTTATTTAATGTCAGTTTTACCTGGCACAGGAGTCTTTACAAGAAAATGAAGACCCTGAAAAACAGTTAAGCCTTAGTGTTTTTTTATAGTAGGTTTAGTGGAAATTGCACAGTTTGGAGAAGTCTAATAGGGCAAAAATGATATAATCTAGTGCTAATAAACTGGGGTGGGGGGAACTCAGCAAGGCTTATTTGATCATATTCTTCTGAGTCCCTGTGTCTTCAGTGATAAGGATGCCTGTTTCCACCAGGTATGGGGAGGGCATCTGTCACATGAAACTCTACGACCTGCTTCAGCGGAAGGTAAGAGAAGTCTTCCTAGTTTTTGTGAACTGCTTCAGGGAAGAGATGAGAGGAAGTCAAAATGAACTTTCTCCTTCAGTCATTTTCTCAAATTCCTTCAGTTTAAAACATTCAATATGCCAAGAGATGTATTTAATAGTCACATATCCTAAAGCTATTTTACATGCATTTCTCTGCTTTAGTTTTGTATGACAGCAAGAGGTCCATGTGTGCATATACACACGGTATATCCTTTTCCACAGGTTGCCTTCTGTGATTTCAGTGATCTGTGGTCAAGCACAGTCTGAAAATATTAAGTAGAACATTTCAGAAATAGACGATTTATAAATTTTAAGTGATTCACTGAGTAGCATGGTGAAATCTCCTGCTGCCCAGGGTGTGAATCATCCCTTTGTTCACCTCAACCAGGTAATTGGCTACTCTACTCCTTAGGCACATAGTTGCTATCTTTGTTATTAGATCGACTGTGGCAGTATTGCAGTTCTTGCGTTCAAGTAACACTTATTTTAGTTGATACTGGCCACAAAGTGCAAGAGTACTGATGTTGGCAATTTGGATATGTCAAAGAGAAGCCATAAAATGCTTCCTTTAAGTGAAAAAGTACACCCTTTTTCTTAAAAAGAAAAAAAATATGCTGAAGGTGCTGAAATCTACGGTAAGAATGAATCTTCTAATCTCCAAATTGTGAAGAAGGAAAAAAAAATTCATGCTAGTTGTATTAGTCTGTTCTCACATACCAGACTGGGCAATTTACAGAGACATACCCGAGACTGGGCAATTTGTAAGAAAAAGAGGTTTAATGGACTCACAGTTTCACATGGCTGGGGAGGCCTCACAATCATGGCAGAAGGTGACAGAGGAGCAAAGTTATGTCTTACATAGTGATAGGCAAGAGATCTTGTGCGGGGGAACTCCAGTTTATAAAACCATCAGATCTCGTGAGACTTACTACCATAAAAACAGTATCAGGGAAATAGCCGCCATGATTCAATTATCTCCACCTGGCCTCATCCTTGACGTGGGGATTATTACAACTAAAGGTGAGATTTGGGTGGGGACATAGCCAAACCATATCACTAGTTTTGCTGGAGCTCTTCAAACTGCAAAAATTAGGGCCAGTGTGTGATAAGTGCTTAGTTAAGATTGGAAAGGCATTAGAGCATGAAAGACATGAGCAGAAATATGTTCTGACAGATGATAATAGGGTTCAGTACTATCCTTAGTTTCAAGCATCAACAGGGTTTCTTGGACCATATCCCTGCAGATAAGAAAGGACTACCATATATATATATATATATATATATATATATATATATATATATATATATATATACATACACACACACACACACACACACACACAAATATATATACACACACACGTATATATACATATGTATGTATATGTGTGTGTGTGTGTCTGTGTATGTACAAATATATACACACACATAGGTTTTTAATATCTCAATGCAGGACAAAAGGGTTAACTCTAGCCTAACTCGTTTCTAATATTCCAATTTTCTTTCACCGGTGAGAACCAGCTTCCTATTATTCTCAATATAGTAATCATTTGCTCAATTTCAAAATACCTAGAAAGAATTTTTGCAATTGCTTGCCTACACCACTGTGAAAGTAAACTTTTAGCTAGACTTTTCTGTTTACTTAAACTCAATTTTTGATCTTTAGCCTAAGGCTATATAGGAAAGTGTTATGATTAAAACTTTGATTAGGTCTTTTTCCCTTTTAAAGTGCTTATGTTATTTATATGTTTTGGTTTGTACTCTTTCTCAGTACTTAGTCTTTCTTATTTATTTTTGAGATTAATAATATGGTTCTAACATTCAAAACTCTGTATAAAGATATACTAAAAGATATGTCACTCCTCCATCAATCTCTTCCATCTTGTTCACACCCACTCCCGTGTTATACCATTTTAAATTCCCAACAGCCTATTTTCCCATAGCCTTGTCAACAGAGTTTATTAACTTTGGCAATTTTTGCTGATCTAGTAGTTGATAAATGATAGTTCTTTGTAGTTCTACTTTTCTTTTCTCTCATTCTTAGTAAAGTTGAATGTTTTAAGTAGTTGAATAATCAGTATAATTTTGTACATTGTCTATTATTTGTTGTCAACTTATTTTATCAGGTTTTTGTTTTTTTCCTAAATTTTGAATTTTTTATATATGAAAGGTATCACATTTTAACTGTGATTTTTGTTGCAAACATGTTCTACAACTTTCCATTGTCTTTAGAATTATTTTATAATGTTTAGATTTTTTGTTACATAAAATGTGTAAATGTATTTGAATATATAAATGATTCCTTAAATTCCTTCAGGGTTTTGAGTCAGTTAGAACTTCTTTCTGTACATCTAGAATATATAAAACTTCACCAATGCTTTTTTTTTCCTCTACTTGAGTCTGTTTTGTTAGATATCTTAAATGTTTGGAGTTTATTGTGCATTATAACGCATGTTATCTTTTTCAGTGGGCTATGAAACCATCCCAACACAATTTATTAAAGTATCTGCCTACACTCTAGTAACTTCACAGGTCATCTTTATAATACATTAAATGTACTGGATAGCTTACATATATTTTTGGATTTTCTATTTTATTTCACTGGTCTGTTTTTGATTTTGCACTCTATCATACTGTTTTAAATAGAGTGGCTTTACAGAGTGTTTAATAAACTGTTCACATGCATGATTTCAGCTATCCTAGTTATCCTTACAAAATTGTAATAAGCTTTTCTACATCCCTAAAAGTTTATAGATATTTTATTGATAGTCTAATAAATTCATAGTTACTTAGGAAGAAGAGTCACCTTTGTGATGGTAATATTATTAAACAATAAAATATTTATTTCCATTTGTTCAAATGTAATACGTCTCTTTCAGAGGTATTTTAAAGTTATCTTTATAAACAATTTCTATGTTTCTATGTTTCTATGTTTCTCTCTATCATTATGTCTTTGAACTAGTTGTTTTATATCTATGGTTATGTCAAACAGAAGCCATAAAGTGCTTCCTTTAAGTGAAAAAGTAAACCTTTTTTTCTTTTTTCTTTTTTATCTTAAAAAGGTTCTTGATTTTTTGTATTAATCGTCTTCTGCTACCTTAGTGAATTATTTTATTGCTGAGTCAAATTTATTATTGATTCTAGGAAGGTTCTAGATATACTATCGTGTCATGGGCAAACAGAAATGATTGTACATCTAATTTTCCAATTTGTAGCAATAATTTATTTCTGTTGCAGATAGATATATCTAGTATAGTGTTCAATAGTAGAGGTTTTAGTCATATTTATTTTTGTCTGATGTTAGTGGCAATACTAATATTTCCACATTAAGCAGAATACTAGCTTTGTAAATAATGTATTTGTTTTTATCATGTTAAGGAAGTATCTATCTAGGTATTTTCTTAGTTATATTTTTAAGAGGAGCAGTCATTTATTTTTGCCAAAGGATTCTTCATCAGCTTTGGAGATAAGCATAGAATGTTTCTTCTTCAATATATTAATGGTATATTATATTAATAGATTCCCTAATATTAAACCAAGCTTGCATTCCTGGAATAAATGCCTAATGGTATTGATGCATTATTTTCTTGAAGTGATATGAACACTATTGAGTACAATTTTCTTTAGGATTTTAATCACTATTAAATCATTCATTCTAAGTTTCTTTTTATGCTTATTTTTGGTGATTGGAGAAGGGATTTGTGAGCTTTGATAATTTTGCTATTATTTATCTATTTATTTATTTGCCTTCTTTTTTTTTTTTTTTTTTTTTGGAGAGCCCTCAATTTCCCACTTTTTCTTCCATTGCCGTAGTTACTGAATGTTAAAAAAGTCTCTCATTTTATTTTACCTTTTTCTTCTCCAGCAATGATGCCTCTCAAAGCTTAGCACAAAGAACTGTGCCCTCTTTTAATTCCTTTCTATGTTTAGTCATCTGAACAACCGCATTTCTTTAATTTCATACTCACAGTGGAATTTTTCTTGCTGGCAGTGACTACAGATAAGTCTTGGTGCTTGTTCTTTCTTCTCTTTGGCAAAATTTACCTGGAAGGCATTCCTTTCACAGAAGTGAGACCAGGGAGTGTGAGAAATAGCTTCACTAATATTTGGCTTATCTTTTTTATTCTTTTTGTTTAGTTAGAGATAATCTGATTGTATTTTTTCTGCCTTCTAGATGTTCTGAGTGTGAGGGTTCTGTGTAGTCACATGAGTTCTTATGGAGGAGCTGCATTGTCTTCTGAGAAACCATAAAGAGATACAGCTAGTGGTGACCACCATTTTCATTTTTTTGAGTATTTTTTGTATGATTGATTTTTTAATAAAAGTTGAAAGACATAAAAGAAATATGTATAATTTACTTAGAATAATGCCTAGCAACATAAGTACATATGACATAAAACAACATTTATAAAATATATTATGAAAATCACAGCATTTAACCATGTCAAGTTCTTATTGTGTGCTGACTTCATTGGTGGGAACAGAAGCCTCAAACAAGCCTATTGGAATAGTAGGAGAGAGAGAGAGAGAGAGAAAAGAGAGAATTCTTATTTATGTTTGCCTATAGCCATCCCAGCTAAAATGTTCTCATATACACTGACTTCTACTATATAACAAAAGTCCCAAAACCTAGGTTCTGAGAACAATTATAGCAATATTAAAAGGTGAACATTTTTACTGTGATGTTAAAACAAAGGGCACAAAATTAAATTAACAGAACATCATTTGAGTTCTTACGAAAAAATATTCCAAAGCATATTCATTGAGGTTACCTCTGGGATTTCACCCAGATGTGCATTAAAATGGTGCGGATGGAGGAAACATGTTCCATGAAATCAATTCTCCCTCTCCAACTTTCCTGTTTTATTAAGATGACTACTACATTGAATATAGACATTGAATTCTTTTAGCCTAGCACATTTATTTATTTTTATTTATCATTTAAACCATTCTCCTGCCTCATCTACCTACATATGCCTATACAGCACCTAAATGTTGAGAGCAATGACAACTATTTTCATAAACTCCAACTATGTATAAATGTATAAATAACCATTTAACCTTTAAATATTGGGGTAATCACTCAGCAAGCCAAAGGCATAGATGTCACTAGTTTTAATGCACATGCTGATTTGCTCTTGGATTTTATCACTTACAACCATTAAGAATTGAAAGGATAATTTATCTTGAAGGTTGAAACATGTGTCTTTTAACTAAGTGTTATCTAGGGACAAAAAAAAGGAACCATAAACAGATGGATTAGTTCTCTATGCACTAAATCTAAAGGGTACTGAGCTGCATGATACGTTCTCTTTTGTTTTTATCTCTAGCTCAAGGTCACGATTGGAAAATAGTAATCCTCTCTGAAAGCTTCATACCACAGGAAGGTACATTTTATTGTAACTATGTTCTCTTTATATTAATTGTTTTGTTTTTCTGCAATTAAGTTGAAAATCATATTAATTATATTGAGGTTAGTTTATTGCTTTTCCTATGCTTTATGTATTTTTAAAGAGTTACATGATTAAAATAAAATTCAAGAAAGCTAGGAAAATGCATATTGGTAGACTGAATAAAGAGCTAAATAGTAAAAAATAACATTTATTAAGAAAATATATATTTTTTTATTTTATTATTATTATACTTTAAGTTTTAGGGTACATGTGCACAATGTGCAGGTTAGTGGAACGCAGCTCCTCACCAGCAACGGAACAAAGCTGGACGGAGAATGACTTTGACGAGTTGAGAGAAGAAGGCTTCAGACGATCAAACTACTCCGAGCTACAGGAGGAAATTCAAACCAAAGGCAAAGAAGTTGAAAACTTTGAAAAAAATTTAGACGAATGTATAACTGGAATAACCAATACAGAGAAGTGCTTAAAGGAGCTAATGGAGCTGAAAGCCAAGGCTCAAGAACTACGTGAAGAATGCAGAAGCCTCAGGAGCCGATGCGATCAAGAAAATATATTAAGAGCTATTTACTTTAAATAAGCAGTCATTTAATACCTTTTTTACCCTTATAATTTAGATAATTTATGTCAATTTTACAGATGAGGAGATGGAGGCTAATCCTTTATGTAACTATTATAAAGTCATAGTCTTTCTGTTAAGCACAACAGCTCAGATTAAGCACCAGGGTTATGTGATATTTTCTATAGTTTAATACATAGTAGATTATTAAGGGATCCCAGTATTTCTAGAAATATAGTTATCATGTAATATAAACTGTTTTGAGGTTGTTATTGACAAATAGAAAGATACATGGATCAATGAAACAAAGAATCCAGAATAGACCACATATATGGCTAATAGATTTTTGACAAGGAGGTAAATTCAATGAATGAAGAATATCTTTTCAAAAATTGATGCTGGACAATTGGATGTCCACAAGCTAATAATGAAACTCAACCTCATATCTTATATAATAAGTCAAAAGAAATCATAAATTTAAATGCAAAATTATAAATCATTGAATGGAAAAAGGAGAAAAATATTTTGTTACTTGATGTTAGACAAAGTGCTTAAATGTAACAGTAAGCTACAAAGCGGGAATATTTGCCAATCATATATCTGACAAAGTGCTTGTATTCAGAATATATAAAGAACTCTCAATATTTGACAGAAAGAAAACAAATACCCCAATTAAAAAAATAAATGAGTGCAAGACTTTAACAGACACTTCATCAAAAGGATATATAAAAGTTTAAAAGAACATTAAAATATGTTGAACATTACTAGTGAGTAAGAAAACGCAAATTAAAAGCTGCAATGAGATATCAATGTAACACTTTTTAGAATGAATAAATTGAAATGTATTGACAATTTCAAGTGATAGCAAGGAGTCAGTGCAACTGGAACTCTCGTGAATTGACTATTGTTATGGCACATTGCCTGACTACTCTGAAATAGTTTGACACTTTCTTATAAAGATAATTAAATACTTACTTTATGGCTCAGTAATCACACTCCTGTGTTTGTTCCAAAGAAAGCAACACTTATTTTCAAATAAAAATCTATACACAAGTGTTCACGTAATTTCACAAAACTAAAAACAACCCAGATTATCTTCAGCTTGGATGAATCTCAAAAACATTACACAAGTGAAAGAAGCCAGTCTCAGAAGTTCACATACAAGTTGAGCCCATTTATATGATATTCTCAAGAAGACAAATCTATAGTGACAGATGCCATCAATAGTTTCCAGAGACTAGTGGTAGAAGGACTCTGTGACTAAAGAAAAGGATATCATGAGGTCATGCTTTGTGGTAATGAATCCGTTCTGCACACTGATTGTTGTATAGTTACACATGATCTATGAAAGTGTTAAAATTCATAGAACTGTACACCAAAAAATATATTATCAAAATACTATTGTTGCTCTCAGAAGAGAGTCAATAGACAGCATCAATGGTTTCAAAGTTATAAACCATAAAATGCAATTTTGAATAATATTGCAAATTATTATATGAAAACATTATTCCATATGGGAAAGAACCACTCTCAGAAATACATCAGTGAATAGGCATTAGGGACACATAAACCTAAGAAACCGATTAAGAATATAAACAGAAACCAAGAGTAATAATTCTATTTATGTTAATTTTTCATACTTAGATAATCAAAATAAAAATATTTCAATTTTGCTCTGACACATTCCATTTTCAAGGAAGTTTATTTTTCAAAATAGTTTTAATTATACAAGCTTTTAAATAAGTCCAACATTATAATAAAATCGATTTGTTGGAAAATAAACAATTTTAAAATAATATAGCATTTTCAATTCTTAGCACCTCCTTTAACTTTCAAACGAATCTTGGTTTGGATAGCATATTGTTTTCCTTATAATTAAATAAATGAATAGTAGTCTTATTTTTTTTACTATGACTCAGAACATTAGTTTATTTTTTCACACCTCATGCAATGTTTCTTCTCTCCTCTACATGTAGCTCAAGCTCTTTCTTCGTTTAGTAGAAATCCAGCTTCACCTTCTACTAGTCTTCCTTTTGGCTTTGCTTTGATTCCCTACAGACTTTGCTTGTCTGCCCTTGTTAGCAATGATCAGCTGTTGCTTAATACTGTTCCTTCCCATTATTTTTCTTATTATATAATTTCTTCAAAATGGGAAAATATCTTTATGTCTCTTGCATAGAGGCACAGGATTTGCCTAGTATACTGTTATAGTCTACATAATGTTTGATGGAGTTATGGTGATTAACTAGGATAATATTATAATATCAACTTTTTGTCCATGGGGATGCCAACTAACAAATTTGAAATGTTATTAAACAAATTGTAGAGAAATTGCTGCTGTACTGATGATCAAAATGTGTATACCTCTTCAAAAATATGTTATATTTAAAAGAAACAGGTGAGCTTAGAAAGTTAAACTGCATGAGAGCTGACAGCTGTCCTGTCCTATTATAGAGAGATTTTTCTCAACTTGCAAGAATAAACGCTGAGAGTCAGCAAACTGACTTGCTCCTGTCACAGAGTAAGAAGACAAGTGTCAAATTCCAAGAGTATGCACATAGCACCTTTGGGTATCAAGTTTCCTGTTGTAAATAGAGGACAAAACACCATGAAAACTAATGAGCAGTGGGCCATTTCTATACTTTTTTGATACAAATAGAGAATTTTTGCCAGGCACAGTGGCTTATGCTTACAATCCTAGCACTTTGGGAGGCCAAGGTGGAGGGATCACTTAAGGCCAGGAATGGAGACCAGCCTGGGCAACGTAGTGAGACCCCCATATGTATATCTTTTTTTAAAACAGAGAGAGAGAAAGTCTTTGGTGTGGGGGAGGGGAGACGTGTTTTTATATATAGGTAAGAAATCCCGTAAATCTCTAAGATTTAATTATATCATAAATATAATTACATCATAATTAATTACATTAAATTAACAGCTGTGTTTCCTAAGATATTCAGCCTCATTTCTACTCGAAAATGTATACCTTCTTTTAGTAGCCAGTTGATTTAGCGGTAGAGTTTACTGAGGCAAGGGAGAAAAGGTCTCCAGATTTTTGACATAAGAAGTAACATTACAGGCAAGGTATGGTTGCTCACACCTGTAATCCCAGCACTTTGGGAGGTCCAGGGGTTCAAGACCGGCCTGGGCAACACAGTAAAACCCTGTCTCTATAAAAGATATAAAAATTAGCCAGGCATGATGACATGTGCCTGCAGTCCCAGATAATCAGGGGGCTGAGGTAAGAGGATCACAGGAGTCCACAAGGTCAAGACTGCAATGAGCTGTCATCTTGCCACATTGCCCTCCAGCTTGGGAGACAGAACAAGACCCTGTCTCAAAAAAAAAAAAAAAAAAAAGAAAAGAAGAGGAATATTAAATGCTAAGCTTCCTTGATAGTGGTAATTATTCATGTCTGAACCTTACAATACCTTACAACATTATGTGAAGAATATATAATAAAATTTTTATTGAATGGATATTATATATATAAAATATAATTTCCAGAAATAAATATTAAGTTAGAAAGCATTTTAAGTATAAAAATTAATTTTAATTCTTGCTCTTCATATTGATATGGTTTGGCTGTGTCCCCACCCAAAATCTCATTTTGAATTGTAATCCCCATGATCCCCATAATCCCCACATGTCAAGGGAGAGACCAGGTGAAGGTAATTGAATCATGGAGGCAGTTTCCCCCATGCTGTTCTCATGATAGTAAGTTCTCACAAGATCTGATGGTTTATTTATTTATTTATTTATTTATTTTTGTTATACTTTAAGTTCTAGGGTACATGTGCACAACGTGCAGGTTTGTTACATATATATATACATGTGCCATGTTGGTGTGTTGCAACCATTAACTCGTCATTTACATTAGGTGTATCTCCTAATGCTATCCCTCCCCCCTCCCCCCACCCCACAGCAGGCCCAGGTGGGTGATGTTCCCCTTCCTGCGACCAAGTGTTCTCATTGTTCAATTCCCACCTATGAGTGAGAACATGCAGTGTTTGGTTTTTTGTCCTTGCGATAGTTTGCTGAGAATGATGGTTTCCAGCTTCATCCATGTCCCTACAAAGGACATGAACTCATCCTTTTTATGGCTGCATAGTATTCCATGGTGTATATGTGCCACATTTTCTTAATCCAGTTTATCACTGATGGACATTTGGGTTGGTTCCAAGTCTTTGCTATTGTGAATAGTGCCACAATGAACATACGTGTGCATGTATCTTTATAGCAGCATGATTTATAATCCTTTGGGTATGTAGCCAGTAATGGGATGGCTAGGTCAAATGGTATTTCTAGTTCCAGATCCTTGAGGAATCGCCACACTGTCTTCCACAATGGTTGAACTATTTTACAGTTCCACCAACAGTGTAAAAGTGTTCCTGTTTCTCCACATCCTCTCCAGCACCTGGTGTTTCCTGACTTTTTAATGATCAGCATTCTAACTGGTGTGAGATGGTATCTCATTGTGGTTTTGATTTGCATTTCTCTGATGGCCAGTGATGATGAGCATTTTTTCATGTGTCTTTTGGCTGCATAAATGTCTTCTTTTGAGAAGTGTCTGTTCATATCCTTTGCCCACTTTTTGATAGATTCCCTGTTTAATAAGTGGTGCTGGGAAAACTGGCTAGCCATATGTAGAAAGCTGAAAGTGGATCCCTTCCTTATGCCTTATACAAAAATTAATTCAAGATGGATTAAAGACTTACATGTTAGACCTAAAACCATAAAAACCCTAGAAGAAAACCTAGGCAATACCATTCAGGACATAGGCATGGACAAGGACTTCATGTCTGAAACACCAAAAGCAATGGCAACAAAAGCCAAAATTGACAAATGAGATCTAATTAAACTAAAGAGCTTCTGCACAGCAAAAGAAATTACCACAAGAGTAAACAGGCAACTTACAGAATGGGAAAAAATTTTTGCAATCTACTCATCTGACAAAGGGCTAATATCCAGAATCTACAAAGAACTCAACCAAATTTACAAGATCTGATGGTTTATTAAGTGTTTGATAGTTACTCCTGTGTTAATTCTCCTTCATGCCACCTTGTGAAGAAGGTACCTTGCTTCTCCTTCACCTTCTGCCATGATTGTTAAGTTTCCTGAGGCCTTCTCAGCCATGCTGAACTGTGAGTCAATTAAACCCCTTTCCTTTTTTAGTTATGCAGTCTCTGACACTTCCTTATAGCACTGTGAAAATGGACTAATACAATTAGTATAATTGTATTATAAGTGTAATCACGTTCCAAGTTATCTGCTGCTCTAAGTTAGGTCTTAAAAGGTGGAAAACTATTAGTAGTTGGAATTAGGCAGAGTTTATGATGCAATAGCTTTTCATAACTAGATACCACAAAATAAGAGTTTTGAAAGGAGACTTGAAGAGTTAGCTCTTAGATTTGGGATATGTGCATTCCTGGTGTTTAATAGTCATATTTTCCAGTACCAACTATTTCCTGGAGCAAATATTTTTACCTGGCATAAGATTATTCAATACAGAGACAGGAAAGCATGCCTGTTCAAAGTATTATTTAACCTAGGGACAGGAAAATATGTTTGTTCTCAGTATTGGTACAGGTAGGGACAGGGGATTAGGTTGGCTTTACTTTTCATTATTATTTTTGTGTTGTTGTTTCTTATTCTTCTGCTCTGCACTTATTTTTGTATCTCCATTACACTTGTATTGAATTTCTTTTACCCATTCCCCTGTGTCTAACCTTTCACTTATCATCTTCTTCTGAGACTCATACTTGTATTCTGAAAGGATTTCTTGTGCTAATACTCTCATTCAATATATCTATTTTGTACAGGATTCAATTTGTTATTTACTCTCACCACAGCATTTTTAACCCCTGTAATCAGGTTTTTGTTTTGTATTTTTGTTTTAATAATAAAACAATATTTCTTGATCTCAGACATTCTAACCTTTTGAATGAGAGGATCACTTAGTTAACCAAACTATATACTTTTCTATTAAGAATATCTTCTAAATATAATTATTCTAATACAAAATCATACCTGAATTTATAAGAACATAATACATTTAGGCTTATTAAAATGTTCCATTTTGATATTTATTAGTATTTACAATGCTACTTTTGAAAATCAAAGTTATAAAATGAAGATTTAATTCTAAACTTTAGTTATGTGTGTACAAATAAATATTTGAAGGCAGTCTTTTTTTCCTATAAAAACATTCATTTTTCCACAGGCAGAAAACTGAAAAGAAGGCAAATACAATGCTAGAGAATAAATAATCTATCCTGAATATTTTCCCAATAGGACAAAATGACAGTAATTTGAATTTATTTTAATATTGTATACAAAAATGCTATGTATAGAAGATTATGCTAAGATTTTGAAATGATTTATTAAATAACTTTAAAAAGTGTAATTTGTTTATTTATAAGTCAAAGGGTAAATTCTTGAGGGGATGGGCACCCCATTCTCCATGATGTGCTTATTTCACATTGCACACCTGTATCAAAACATCTTATGTACCCCATAAACATAACACCTACTGTGTACTCAGAAACCTTTTAAAAATAATAAAAAAAAGATTTTAAAAAATAAACTAATAATTTGTATAAAACTAATAATTGCATTTTAAATGTGTTTCAAGTATTCCCAACATCACTGCTTTGAATTTTTGAATGCACTTTTAGCCTATAAATGCTGAAGGAAAACAAGTATTGTTCAGTTTGGCACTGTTACAATTCCATTGTACTGCATTGCAATATTTTACAGCTTTATTTTGTCCCAAAAGAGCATTTCATTTTATGGCAGGTGAAACCTGTGTCACTATTTCTTTCTACCCCTGATGCTGACTAGCTTTGTAATGCAACATGTTCACACTCATGGGAAAGAGGACATATCTTAATTGCTTTACTGCTAAGGAAAGAAAACAAGACTTGTTTATTGAACTTACTCAATTGTTTGTAAAAACAAAACAAAAGGAACAATATCCTGATTTGTAACATAATATTCACAGAACTATCAGATCACAACTTTACTTGACTGGAAAGTTTCTGAAATAAAGCAATACCTAGATTGTTTCTCTTTTGTAAAATCTGCAAATGGTCACATATTTAGTAAAATCTTATAGCAATAATTAGACACATATAAATTATAGGTTAAGGATCCCTTATCCAAAATGCTTGGGGCTAAAATTGTTTGGGATTGCAGATTTTTTCTGATTTTAGAATATTTGCATTATATCCACTTCAGCATCCCTAATCCAAAAATCCAAAATCTGAAATGCTATAATGAACATTTCCTTTGAGTGTCATCTCAGCGTTCAAACAATTTTAGATTTTGGAGCATTTCAGGTTTCTGTTTTTCTAATTAGGGATATTGAACCTGTAAATATATTAAAACTGAGTACCTAATGTTTTGAGAGGAAGAGGCAATTAAGCATGGAGGGTGAAGTAAACACAACTGAAACAAGATAAAATGAATGGTTTCGCACAAACAGACGATGACAGGTGCCATGGATTGAAGAGTCAGATCAGTTCAACTTGGGGCACAGGAGAACTTAATGGGAAATTCAGGTGAAGTGAAGTAACCACATTTGCTATTTTGAATTATCACTCTGACAATATGAACAGATTAAAATACAGCAAGAATAGAAATGAGAGACAAGAATTAAGTCTTTTTCAGTGACTCTCACAAAATATGATAAAGGGATTCACTAAGGTATGAACTAGTAAGAGATGAAATACAAACCTTAAATAAAAACTTTAAAATAGTTAGGACTCATAGTTGTTTAAGATGTAGAAGTAAGTTAGTGAAAGAGGTAAAGAATGGATCAGTGTTATAAATTGAAGAACTAGTGTTATTCTTGGAGAATAAACAAGTAGATTGAAGACAGAGGCTGGTGCAAAAGTAATTGCGGGTTTTGCATTACTTTTAATGGAAAAAAAAACGCAATTACTTTTGCTCCAACCTAATATATTGAAACGGAAGTTTCTGTGGCCTATACAAAGTGATGTATCCAGTGGATAGTTGATACGTTGTCCAGTGGTTTATAGGTACAGGTCTTCAGGATGCTGAAATTAAATTAGATATGTCTGTCTTTCCTACTATAGGAAGACACTTCTTGACCCCGCTGAACAGATGACATTTGTGCATAATGTTTAAAAGAAATAATTGTAATATCTACTACCCAAAATAGGTCATTGTTTGTTTCAAAGTTCAATAAAAATATTACAAATTATCTTTGCCACTACCCTAGTTCTGTAGCTATATAAGTGGATTTGAAATAGATGTTGAAAATTATAGCGTGATTTCATAGATAAATATGGGAATAAATAGATTTTAAATGATTGTCAATTATTACCATGATTATACTCTGTTTTTTTTAAAAAAATTAGAGGTTATCTTATTGATTTGAAAGTTCACTCCTCTGTTGCTTATACAGAGATGGGAAGACATTATGGTTAAACATATGGGCTCTGAAGTGAGACTTTTTAGGTCTCACTTTTACCTTGAGCAAATTACATAAAGCCCTCGATTTTCATTTCCGCATTTTTAAAATGCAGCTTCTTTGGTACTTTGGGTAGCTTATCTCTAAAATGGTCACTATTGCTGCCTTCCTTCTCAATATCTACATTCCATTCTCTCACTTGAAAGATGAAGTTTGTTCTTCCACTTCCTTGAAACTGAGATGGTCTGTGACTGCTTTGACTACAAAATTTTAAAGAGATGAGGTTATGGTCATTTCTAAAACCATGAAGTTATATCATTTTTAGCCTTTAAAAGGCATGACAGTTTCCACCTAACTATCTTGGAAGTTGTTCTGGTGAAAGGGAGTTGCAATGTAAGAAGTTCATGTTAAGATTGCCTTTTTATGGCAGCATAGTATTCCATGGTGTCTATGTACCACATTTTCTTTATTGAGTACATTGTTGATGGGCATTTAGGTGGATTCCATGTCATTGCTATTATGAATAGTGCTACAATGAGCATACATGTCTATGTGGGTTTATGATAGAATGATTTATTTTCCTTCAGGTATATACCCAACAATGGGATCACTGGGTTGAATAGTAATACTATTTAGAGTTCTAGAAGAATCCTCACAAGGCTTTCCACAATGGCTGAACTAATTTTCCCTGCCACCTACAGTGTATAAAGCATTCCCTTTTCCCTGCAACCTTGCCAGAATGTATTATTTTTTGACTTTTTAATAATAGCCATTCTTACTGATGTGAGATGGTATCTAACTGTGGTTTTAATTTGCATTTTTTCTAATAATTAGTGATGTTGAGCATTTTTCATATGTTTGTTGACTGCATGTATGTCTTGTTTTGAGAAGTGTCTGTTCATGTCTTTTACCCACATTTTAATGGGTTTGTGTTTTGCTTACAAATTTGTTTCAGTTCCTTATGGATTGTGGATATTAAAGACCTTTGTCAGACGTATAGTTTTTAAATATTTTCTCCCATTCTTTAGGTTGTTTAATCTGTTGATAGTGTCTTTTGCTGTGCAGAAACTCTTTAGTTCAATTAGATCCCATTTGTCCATGTTTACTTTTGTTGCAATTGCTTTTGACATCTTTGTAACAAAATATTTGCCACTTACTATATCCAGAATGATATTTCCTTTGTTATCTTCCAGAGTTTTTTATAGTTTTAGGTTTTACATTTAAGTCTTTAATTAATCTTGTGTTTATTTTTATATATGGTGTAAGGAAGGGATCCAGTTTCAATCTTCTGCATATGGCTAGCCAGTTATCCCAGCAGCATTTATTGTATAGAGAATCTTTCCCCATTGCTTTTTTTGTGTGTGTCAGTTTTGTTCAAGATCAGATGGTTGCAGTTGTGCAAAATGAGGTTATGTCCTTTGCAAAAACATGGTTAGAGCTAGAGGCCATTATCCTAAGCAAACTAATGCAGGAACGGAAAGCTAAATATTGCATGTTCTCACTTATAAGAGGGAGCTAAAAGCAGCGAAAACACATGGGCATGAAGAGGAGAACAACAGACCCTGGGGCCTACTTGAGGGTGAAGGGTGGGAGGAGGGAGAGGATCAGAAAAAATACCTATTGGACACTACACTTACTACCTGGGAGATGAAATAATCTGTAAATGAAACCCACAAGACATCAGTTTCCCTACATAACAAACCTGCACATGTACCCCGGAACCTTAAATAAAAGCTAAAAGAAAGAAAAATCAGAGAAATAATCTAGTATTTTTTTAAGAGCTATAATTATCCAAGTTGATGATTTAAAATCCTTCAAATACATATATAATTGTCCAGCAGAACCCAATATTAACATGAGGAGAGGAAAAGGAGACTAAAAAAATCGTTAACAGAATTCCTGAGTTTTACAGATGAAAGAATTTATGTGCAAGTTGTAACAACTATGAATACTAAAGTTAATAAATTTTCCTGGCAATAATATAACAGGAAGTGTCCTGAGTTGGCATGCTCTTGCCCTCTCACCACATGATGTCCTCTACCATGTTATGAATCAGCATGAAGGCTCTTCCTAGATGCCAGGCCTATGCTCTTGGACTTCCCAGTCTTTACAATCATAAGCTAAATAAGCTTATTTTTCTAAAAATAATATAAAAATCCACCCCCACCCCCCAGAAAAGAACCCACTGTCTGCTGCCTGCTGGGAGAGTGTTTAAGGTAGCTTTGTGGGAAGGTCACAGTATTGCTTTACCTGTTTCTGTATTTTCTACTTTAAAGTATCCCTTGTCTTCAAAATCAACAGAACTTTCTATCTCTGGTCTCATTTTTTCTAACCAACTTTAACATGTCCTAGCAGCCCAGCACATATCATTTTACATCCTATTTTTATACATTTTCAGGAATTGCTACAGCAGCAGGTTCCTAATGCTGCATTGCAGTTTTCATAGGAAGAAGATTAAGTCCAGTAAATATAGAGGTTGACAAGGGATGGATGTTCACAATGAAAAGCAAACTTCTCTGTTCTACTAGCTATACATCTCATACTTCAGGAAGGTAGCTCAGTGCTCCTTATCTTTGAATTAGTGAAAGTTTACTCTTTTCTCATCAAACCTTTCTTCAAAACTTTCTTGTTGCAGAGGCCCAACCTAAAAAGACATTTTTCCAGTAATTGCTGGCTAGTGAATGTCATACAATGTCAAAAGCAGTTTATTAAAGGCTAAAATTCAAAGTATTATTTCATGTAGAAGATGTCAAGTAGTAACTCTGACTGCATTTTTACTGAGTCAGCTAAATTAACTTGAGAGTTTAGATGATTCAAGTGCAGCAAAAGTGACATTAGTTCTTCCATTGGCAATTATTTTTGGCTAATTAAAATAAGACTCCCTCTAATGTTTTTTGTTAACAGACCTTCTAGTTAAAGCTTTAGTGATATCAATTTGTTGGAATAACTTACAATTTCTGTTATACGATGGCCTCTACAGTCAGGAGAATTAATTCATCAGCCACATTACATTTATTACTTTTGCTCTTCTCCTCCTTTTTTTTCTTGCTATCCTCTTCTTTCTCTTCTTTTTCCTCTCCTCACTCCTTATCGTATTATTTACTATCTGAACAATGTCTATTAATAACAGGTGTTACTATAAATGAATTTAAGAAAAATAAAATATATTCGATAGCATAAATTTTCATATTAATTTACCTTTTATCTATTTCGATATTATATTTGAAATCCAAAAATACAAAGTTAATGATTACTCTGAACTCTATGGTACTTATATCAAAGAGCTGACCCAGAAATACATGCATTCTTGCTAGGAAGAATGAAATCACTGGTCCTTTATTCAAAAAAATGTAATGCCTTTAGCTACAAAAAAAATTTTAAATAAGGAATATTGCTTATAAATATTCACAAATAAGGAATATTTATATATAAATAAGGGTTTATATACAAATAAATTAGAGTTATAAAAAAGGAATATTGCTTATAAATATAAATATTGCTTATAAATAAACAAAAACATGATAATTATGAAAGGTCTTTTGAGTACAGGCATACTTTATTTTATTGAGCTTCATTTTATTGTGCTTCATAGATATTGCAGTATTTACAAATTGAAGATTTGTGGAAGCCTGCACCTAGCAAGTCAATAAGTGCCATTTTTCTAATAGCATGTGCTCACTTTGTGTCACATGTTGTTAATTCTTGCAATATTTCATACTTTTTTAGTATTATCATATCTGTTACGATGATCTGTGATCAGTGATCTTTGATGTTATTATTGTAATTTTGGGGGGTGCCAGGAACTGCATCTTTCTAAGATGGTAAACTTAATTAATAAATGTGTGTGTTCTGACTGCTCCACTCACCAGCCATTCAACCATCTCTTGTCCTCACCTCAGGCTACCCTGTTACCTGAGACACAAAAATATTGAAATCAGGTCAATTAATAACCTTACAATAATCTCTAAGTGTTCAAGTGAAAGTCAGACTCACTCACTTTAAATCAAAAGGTAGAAATGATTAAGTTTAGTGAGGAAAGCATGTCAGCACCTGAGATAGGCTGAAAGCTAGGCCTCTTGCACCAAGAGTTAGCTAAGCTATGAATGCAAAGGAAATGTTCTTGGAGGAAATTAGAAGTTCCACTTCATGAATATATGAATGACAAGAAAGAGTAACAGCCTTATTGCTTATGGGGGAAAGTTTTAGTGGTCTAGATAGAGGATCAAACCAGCCACAGCATTCCGTTAAGCCAAAACGTAATCCAGAGCAAGGCTCTAAGCCCGCCCCCTTTCAATTCAGTGAAGGCTTAACAAAAGTGAGGAAGCTGCAGAAGAAAAGTTGAAAGCCAGCAGAGGTTTGTTCATGAGGTTTATGGTAAAGAGCTGTCTCCAAAACATAAAAGTGCAAGCAGAAGCAGCGTGCTGTTGGAGAAGCTACAGCAAGTTATCCAGAAGAACTAGCTAAAATAATGGGTAAAGGTGGCTACACTCAAGAGCAGATTTTCAATATAGATGAAACAGTCTTATATTGGAGGGAGATGCCACTTAGGACTTTCATCACTAGAAAGGATAAGTCAATGCCTGATTCAAAGCTTCAACAACAGGCTGACTCTCTTGGTAAGGTCTAATTCAACTGATGACTTTAAGTTGAAACTAATGCTCATTTACCATTCAAAAATTTATAGGGCTCTTAATAATTATGTTGAATTTTAGTCAAAACTGACTTCAAATTATACTACCAGGCTATGGTTACCAAAACATCATGGTACTCATATAAAAACAGGCACATAGACCAATGGAACATAATAGAGAACCCATAAATAAAGCCTAATACAGCCACAAAATCTTCTATAAAGCATACAAAAACGTAAATTGGGGAAAAGACAGTCTATTCAATAAATTGTGCTGGGGAAACTGGAAAACTACATGTAGAAGAATGAAACTGGATCCTCATCTCTCACCTTATAAAAAAATCAACTCAACTTGAATCAAAGACTTAAATCTAAGACCTTAAATACCTAAAAGTAGGTCTACCATTTGATCCAGCAATCCCAGTCCTAGGTATCTACCCCCAAAAAAGTCATTATGTAAAAAAGCAACATACACATGCATGTTTACAGCAGCACAATTTGCAATTGCAAAGATATGGAACAAAACTAAGTACCTATTGGCCAACAAGTGGATAAAGAAAATGTGTTGTATATATACTTGGAATACTACTGAGCCATAAAAAGGAAAAAAATAGTATCCTTTGCAGCAGCTAGGATGAGCTGGAGGCCATTATTCTAAGTGAAGTAACTCAGGAATGGAAAACCAAATACTGTATATACTGTTTTCACTTATAAGTGAAAGCTAAGCTATGAGGGTGTAAAAACATACTGAGTGACATAATGGACTTTGGGGACTTTACGGAGAGGGTGGGAGAGGGGCGGGAGATAAAAGACTACATGTTGGGTAAGTGTATACTGCTTGGGTGATGGGTGCACTAAAATCTCAGAATTCACCACTGAAGAACTCCTCCATGTAACTAAAAGTCACCTGTACCCCAAAAGGTTGTACCCCTGTACATTCATGTAACTAAAATCCACCTGTACCATGGAGGTACCCCTGTATATCCATGTAACTAAAAGCCACCTGAACGCCAAAAACTATTGAAATAAAAAAGATAATAAAAAGCACACTTAAAAATAGTTATGCTAAATCTACTCTATGCTCCACAAATGGAGCAGCAAAGTCTAGATGATAGCACATCTATTTAGAGAATGATTTACTGAATATTTTAAGCCTACTGCTGAGACCTACTTGTGAGAAAAAAAAAGAAAGATTCCTTTCAAAATATTACTGCTTTTTGATAAGAACTCTGATAGAGATGTATAAGGGAATTCATGTTTCCAACACTATTGACACAACATCAATTTTTCAGCTCATGGATCAAGGATTAATTTTGACCTTTAAGCCTTATTATTTAAGAAATACATTTTGTAAGGCTATAGCTGCCATAGATAGTGATTCCTCTAATGGATCTGGGAAAAGTAAATTGAATACCTTCTAGAAAAGAACCACCATTCTAGATGCCATTAAAACATTTCTGATTCATGGGAGGAGGTCAAAATATCAACATCAACAGAGGTTTGGAAGAAGTTGATTTCAATTCTCATGAATGGCTGAAGGGATTAAGACCTCAGTGAAGGCAGTAACTACAGATATAGTTAAAATAGTAAGAGAGCTAGAATTAAAAGTTGAGCCTGAAGAATGTGACTGAATTGGTGCTATCTCATGATCAAACATGAACAGATGAGGAGTCGCGTCTTACGGATGAACAAAGAAAGTTGTTTCTTGAGATGGAATCTACTTCTGAACAAGATGCAGTGAAAATTGTTGAAATGACAACAAATGATTTAGAAGCAGTGGCAGGTTTCCAGAGGATGGACTCCAGTTCTGAAAGAAGTTCTGCTGTGGGTAAATGCTATCAAACACATTGCATGCTATAGATAAACATTTCATGAAAGGAAAAGTCAATTGATGTGGCAAATTTCATTGTTGTCTTATTTTAAGAAATTGTCACAGGTACTCCAACCTTCAGCAATCATCGTGCTGATGAGTCAGTAGTCAACAACATCAAGACAAGAATCTCAACCAGCATTAAAATTAACATTTGTTGGAGGTTCAGATGATTGTTAGACTTTTTTTTTACAATATTTTAAATTAAAGTATATATATATATTTTTAGACTTTTTAGACTTCATGCGGTTGCACATTTAATAGACTCCAGCATAGTGTAAACATAACTTTTAAATGTACTTGAAATCCAAAAATGTAGTGTGACATTTTGTGATATCACTTTATTGCAACATTCATTTTATTGTGGTGATCTGGAACAGAACCTTCAATATCTCTGAGTTATGTCCGTGTTCTGAAGGTGCTAGTCATCAGATTGATTCTAAATAATTCATAATTTAATCCAGTGATCTTACCTCACTTTGAAATAAGTTTACATTCTTTTTCATTTTTTTAATATCTTTGAAGATATCAAATGCCCATCATAGGGGAATGACTATACATAGTCTCCTTCTCCATCTGTTATGTTGCTACAGAAATGAATAAATATAATATATATCAACAGACTTAGAAGAGTTTCCAAACATAATATTTACTGGAAGAAAGCAAGATGTAGAAACACATTTTTAATATAATCTAATTTTGTAAAATAAGTGACAGCAGAATCAGTTTGTATATGTGTTGATATATGCGCAAATCTGAAAAAGTATAGAAAAACGTGCATCATATTCTTACTGTTAGTTTCTTGGTAGATAAAAAGAAAATGGTATTTTAAAAATAAACAAAATACCTTTAAAAGAACAAATATACCTATGATTTTAAAATAGCATTACAGCAGAATCTTATGCACAATAATGCACATATATTTATATTTATGAAAACAAGTAAAAAATAAGATCACTAAACATGTTAATGCTGGCTTTCTTATAATAAATACATTCAAGTGTATTAATTTTTAAAATTATCTTATATCCTATTTACTTAAGCATGAAATAAAAAGAACAATTTTATCTAATTTATTTTATTTATGTCCTTTCATTTAGGATCCTGACAAATTTTTTACAATGGTGATTTACAATATCATTTGACTTTGTGTCCCCACCCAAATTTCATCTTGAATTGTAATCCCATAATCTTCACGTGTCATTTACAATTATCAGACTTTTCAGAATAGATTACTTTTACCTGTAAATATAACATTCTGATATAACATTTAGCTACATGATAAAGCTTTTCAGCACCTGCGTATCTAGTAAATGGATTGACAAGCACTACTCAATAACAAATCTAGATAGCCAAAACAAATCACTTACACCTCTAAAAGATAGACATGACATGGTTGCAAATAATTCACTCTGTTCTGGGACATCAATGAGTATTTCATGTATATGAAACGTTATTTGTCTTTAAAACACAGTAATTCCATCTCTGAGAGTTTTATACTAAGAGCCTCACTTTCTCTCATAGCACAGTTTCCTTTTCACAACAAATAACACACTTATAGTGACTGTACAGACATTTCGTGCATTGATTTATCTAGTAAGTCATTCAGTCTCTTTAAAGCAGATACTTGTTCTGTGCTTGACTCTCTACTATGAGCTGGGGGTGGGGTACATATAATTTATCTCTTTTTTTTTCATTGTAAAAGGTATATAAAATATACATCAATAGGAAGTTAAAAATTCCCTTTCCAACATTAGGGCCATTAGCCAAAAGTTATCCTGATACATCTGGAAAATTCTGGGCAGTAGAACTAAAATTATAATCGACCTTTTATAGAGAATGTATTTATCTGGCCATCAGTACACAGATTCAGACAAAATTGTTTTGGCAAATTTAATTAATTACATTCTCCAGCACACAAAAGCATAGATTTATAGAGTATAGTACTTATTTTTCAGGCCCAGTGTTCTAGAAAATTAGTGACTTTAAGAAATGGCTGAGTACAGTAAATCTCTCAACTGAAGGTGCATTTGAATAAGTGAAAGCGCCTACTTAAAAGGGTTTCCCCACATCAGAAATGGAGAAAATAAAGAAGAAAATAATACTATATAAAGGGTATTTTACAGTATAAAAATATAATTATTTAACTGTGGGTATTTAACAAAGAAATATTTAATTGGCTTCCTTAGCCTGGGAAATAAATTTGAGATTGTAAATCTGTTCGTCCTCTGTAAAAGAAGATAATGTAGACAGTGATTTAGATACATAGCAGCAGGTAAAGGATGCTCAGAAACATGCCACGTTCATGGATCTATTCCTATCCTACTGAACTGAAATTTTTTAAGTGAATTAGGAAGATGACCTTTTAAAACGATCTTATACTATAAATTTAGTTTAGAAACACAGATATAAATAATCCTTGTACAAATAACAATGTGCTACAGTATGATTTAGTGACTACATATGGAGAAATTCTACAGTTTAAAACAATGCAGTCTTTTTTTTTTTAACTTTCCTTTGTTTCCTAACAGTGAGAGAGATACAATATATTTAGATGAGGCAGCCTTCCTACACCTTTGATGTCTGTGAATGCTTGTATTAATTCTTGAGAACATTTAGTAGAGATTATTAGTGAGCAGAATTAGTAGTGAGTGAGAATCGGGCAAGTTAAGCATCCCAGGGATGTTTTCTTTTGTTTTGTTTCTGTTTTTATGTTTTTTGGGATGGCGTTTCGCTCTTGTTGCCCAGGCTGGAGTGCAGTGGTGCGATACCAGCTCACTGCAACCTCCACCTCTCAGGTTCAAGCAATTCTCCTGCCTCAGCTTCCTGAGTAGCTGGGATTACAGGCGCCCGCCACCATGCCCGACTAATTTTTGTATTTTTTTTGTAGAGACGGGGTTTCACCATGTTGGCCAGGCTGGTCCCGAACTCCTGACCTCAGGTGATCCGCTCACCTCGGCCTCTGGAAGTGCTGGGATTACAGGCATGAGCCACCGTGCCTGGCCCCAGGGATGGTTTTAATCAGAGCCAGCGCTACTGAACATCAGGGAGAGAAACAAGCTCAACACAGCATGGTTTACTCAGCGTTCATTTACATATATATTAAATATATATTACTGCTTGGTAGATAATCACAGTTTTCAGTATTTATAGTTTAGAATCAATGGCACTATCACTTGCTGTTTATGGCACCAGGACAAAAACTGCTAATTAGGTGGAGTATTCTCAAATTAGTTTTATTTTACTGACTAGCTACAAGATAATTGGAATATGCATGTTAGACTGAAAATATCTATACTATGCGAGGCACCTAAAGTTGAAACACTGAATATAATAAATAAGCAGGGACAAAGGAATGACCTGCATCTTTATAGAGGCACAAGCCTATTGTGTACATCCACGGAGCACTAATTATTTAACGTTTACAGTGAAAGTACCATGATTTTATTTTGCCTCAACGTTACAAACACCCTGAAAGTAATGACTTTGTGCTAAAACCTGGGTTTAAATATTCTGCATTTAAATATTTTTCCCATCACTTACTAGATGGATAGTGTTGGAGAAGTTACTTCTTTCTCAATGCCTCAGTTACTTCATTTGTAAAATGGAGGTATCAGCACTACTTACTTCACCCGGTTGTTCTGAGAGCTAAATGAGCCAACCCCTACAGAGGATTTATAATTGAGCCTGGCAGATAGGAGGTCCTCAATTAATGTTATCTGTTAATGTTATGTTCTAAAGTACATTCAATTTTATTTAAAGTCTGTCTTATCACTGATTTTGTTTGTTTGTTTGTTTACACTGGTTCTCTAAAACTACAGTGATTTAATAAATAACAACAACAAAATAATAATCATCATGTACTGTTAGTGAATTAGAAACACTTAGAAATTTATTTCTTTTTTAAGTTTTATTATTATACTTTAAGTTTTAGGGTACATGTGCACAATGTGCAGGTTAGTTACATATGTATACATGTACCATGCTGGTGTGCTGCACCCATTAACTCGTCATTTAGCATTAGGTATATCTCCTAATGCTATCCCTCCCCCCTCCCCCCACCCCACAACAGGCCCCGGTGTGTGATGTTCCCCTTCCTGTGTCCATGTGTTCTCATTGTTCAATTCCCACCTATGAGTGAGAACATGCGGTGTTTGCTTTTTTGTCCTTGTGATAGTTTACTGAGAAAAAACACTTAGAAATTTATTTCATAAATATTGTCATACTACTGTAAGCCTTTCAAATTTGTTAAAAGCTCTTTTTTTCTGCATAATTTTAGAAATGTTATAAACAAGAAGTATGGATTAGGCAAAAAACTGATGCAGCATAAAGGAGAATTCAGCATATTTTTAGAAAAAATACTATATTATCTACTTTGGGCAGAAAGATAATTATATGCATATTTAATGGTAGTATAAAATTGGAGGAATGAGTTCTAGTACAGATCCCAGTGAGAAATGGTCTCTTTTTGCAAAAGGCACTTAAAAAATAACTTTATTCAGGTTTAGGAGAAAATGTGTATTTTGTTTAAAACCACAGAAAACAAACTGCACTTTTATTAAGGAGAGTCACAGAGCTGCAAAGCGGTACACAGGAAGTTCAACTCTGTAGGTAAGGTAAGCAGTAAGGTTTCTAATGCAGAGACCTATAGAGGAAGAAACCAAACACATGGAATCCTATAACAACTATTTGACAGTTGATCTCCTGGAAAGATAGGAGTATATGCACACAGCTCATTAGACAAGAGCATTTCATTCACTGTGAAGTCAAAGAACAGCCCAACCTTATACCACAAACTCTGAACAATAGCCGATAGATAATGAACATTCAACAATTCACGGAGATAGGAATTAATTCATAACAGTATGGAATTTGTATTTTATGATAAAGTAAAAGGCACAGGAAAATGGGGGGTCTGAAAGATGTACTAAATATGTACAATGTGAAAGAAATAGAGCAGACCCCATCACAGAATGGGAAGAGTGCTTAGGAACTAGGTGGCTCTGGGCCATTTTCATTACAATCTGATAGCTTTCTTATTATAGATACCAATGTCTAGAAATGAAGCTTAGCAGTAAAACAGTATATTTAAATAGAAATATAATGGCCAGTGCTATGGATCAATATTGACAACATTGAGTAATGTGCTAAAAATAAAACATAAAAAACTCCTAGGCCAATACCATGCACAGACGTGAATTTTAAATGTATATTATTTACAACTTGAAAAGACTGTTATGTGAACAGTTTGGAAGCCATTAGAAAGCCATTAAAATGCCTAGAGTTCCTGGCAAACAAGTCCTAAAACAGTCTTTGCCAATATTTTCAGAGAACTCTAGCACTGCTGTGTTTGCACATGTGCAAGTGCACGTGCTTGTGAAGTCCAAGAAGTAATAAAAACAAGTGACTATGATGAATAGGATGGAAATGCAGCCACAGATGTCTGCTAAGACTAGTATCAATCATTTTGCCAGTAAATTAGAAATCTTATATTCAATCAAATAAATTCTACAATACCAACCCATCTCTTATCAGATCATATGCTCATATATTAATATTGATGTGAGATAAACATAAAACATTAAAAATAATGCATGACTATGACCAAATTTGAATCAGCTGCTTAAAATAAGCCTATACTAAAATAACCAGAACTAGAAGTTACAAGACAATTTTTAAATTCCAATGGAATAATAGTGATCTATAAGAAACTGAATCAACTTTTCAAAGAGAAAAGTTGGGAGAGAGGCATGTGCTTTGGTTTTAAAGAGATACAATAAATCTAACATTTAAGTCTTTAATCCATCTTGAATTAATTTTTGTATAAGGTGTAAGGAAAGGGTCCAGTTTCAGCTTTCTACATATGGCTAGCCAGTTTTCCCAGCACCATTTATTAAATAGGGAATCTTTTCCCCATTTCTTGTTTTTGTCAGGTTTGTCAAAGATCAGATAGTTGTAGATGTGAAGAAAACCTAGGCAATACCATTCAGGACATAGGCATGGGCAAGGACTTCATGTCTAAAACACCAAAAGCAATGGCAACAAAAGCCAAAATTGACAATTGGGATCTAATTAAACTGAAGAGCTTCTGCATAGCAAAAGAAACTACCATAAGAGTGAACAGGCAACCTACAAAATGGGAGAAACTTTTTGCTATCTACTCATCTGACAAAGGGCTAATATCCAGAATCTACAAAGAAGTCAAACAAATTTACAAGAAAAAAACAAACAACCCCATCAAAAAATGGGTGAAGGATATGAACAGACAATTCTCAAAAGAAGACATTTATGCAGCCAAAAGACACATGAAAAAATGCTCATCATCACTGGCCATCAGAGAAATGCAAATCAAAACCACAATGAGATACCATCTCACACCAGTTAGAATGCCGATCATTAAAAAGTCAGGAAACCACAGGTGCAGGAGAGGATGTGGAGAAATAGGAACACTTTTACACTGTTGGTGGGACTGTAAACTAGTTCAACCATTGTGGAAATCAGTGTGGCGATCCCTCAGGCATCTAGAACTGGAAATACCATTTGACCCAGCCATCCCATTACTGGGTATATACCCAAAGGATTATAAATCATACTGCTATAAAGACACACACACACATATGTTTATTGTGCACTATTCACAATAGCAAAGACTTGGAACCAACCCAAATGTCCAACAATGGTAGACTGAATTAAGAAAATGTGGCACATACACACCATGGAATACTATGCAGCCATAAAAAAGGATGAGTTCATGTCGTTTGTAGGGACATGGAT
Source organism: Homo sapiens (assembly GCF_000001405.40). Taxonomy (NCBI): domain Eukaryota; kingdom Metazoa; phylum Chordata; class Mammalia; order Primates; family Hominidae; genus Homo; species Homo sapiens. The sequence continues at coordinate 102,842,715 of NC_000006.12, forward strand.
GAAGCTGGAAACCATCATTCTCAGCAAACTATCGCAAGGACAAAAAACCAAATACCGCGTGTTCTCGCTCATAGGTGGGAATTGAACAACGAGAACACTTGGACACAGGAAGGGGAATATCACCCACCCGAGCCTGTTGTGTGGTGGGGGGAGGCGGGAGGGATAGCATTAGGAGATATACCTAATGTAAATGATGAGTTAATGGGTGCAGCACGCCAACATGGCACATGTATACATATGTGACAAACCTGCACATTGTGCACATGTACCGTAAAACTTAAAGTATAATAAAAAAAAAGAGATACAATAAAAGCCTAGTAACAGATGTGAACAAAGAATGAAAAAAAATGACCAAGGAAATAAAATTGATAACTCAGAGAACAAACTCTTTTTTTTTGTAGATGACTTAAAATAGATAAACAGTGTAATATTTTGTAGCTGGTGTTAGAGTACTCTTTCATATGGAAAAAAATAAAACTAGATGACAACTTAAAATTTTTTAGGAGATATATAGATGAGAAGTCCAGATATATTAAAGATTTATATTTGAAAGGTAAAATTTTGTAATTATTAGTATGTGCTATGTAACTATTTAGAATCTATGTGACCTAGTGCCATTAAAATTTTTAATAGGGCTCCAGGAGAAGGCAAAATAAATAAATAAATAAACTAGCTAGCAAATAAATACGAACAATTAATTTGATTTCACTAAAATTATAGATTTCTGTGCAAAGAAGTATGTCTAAATAAAAATCAGCAGATGTTGACAGCTTGTAAATGTTATTTGTAATATATAAAACAAAGAAAAACCAAAATCAAGATGATTAGAGAAACTCATGAATCTTCCAGAAAACAGTACAAATGCAAAGAATATGCGTAGGTAACTCCCAAAGGTGAAACACTAAATGATAATATAGGTATGCAGATATCTCAAATCATTAGGGAAATGAGAAATAAAATTTAAAGGAGTAACAAGATGCCAGCTTCCTCCCATCATATTTGCCAATATTTGAAAATTGGATGATGTCAGTCTTATATAATGTCATTATAGGAGTGACATTCCCTCATTTTGACCATATTCTATTGGTTAGAAGCCGATAAAGGATCTTCCCCACACTCAAGAGAGGAGATTATGAAATAATATGAATACCAGAAGGCCAGGAGTGTAAAGATCACCTTAGGATTTGTGTACCACAGTATGCCTTCTGGCTCCCAATGATTCAAGTCCCTTTCTCATGCAAACAGTATTAACTTCCTACCAAGATTCACAAGTGTGATGGTTAGCTTTATGAGTCAATTTGTGCAAGCTATTAGTCCCCAGTTAATAAAACACTAATACAAGTATTGGCTGAGGGCTTTTTGTAGATGGGAATAATGTCTAACATTAGTTGACTTTAAGTAAAAGAGATTATTGTAGATAATCTAGGTGGGCCTGATTCAACTAGTTGACAGACCTTAAAAGCAAAACTGAGGTTTCCTTGAGGAAGAAATTCGGACTGTGCACTGCAGTTTCAGCTGGCGCCTGAGGGTTCCATCCAGCCCTATGGATTGTGGATTTGTCTAGACAGCCCCCACAGTCGAAGAAGCCAATTCATTGCCATAATTATCTATCTATCATCATCTATCTACCTATCCATATACCTGTCTATCTATCTCCTATTAGTTCTGTTTCTTTGAATGGCAGACCAATAATATTCTCATCACATTATAGCATCAGCTCAAAGATGAAAACTTCATTATCTAAATTACATCCTGGCTCCATGAGTCTTCTAGCTTTAATCTATTAAGTCTAACTCCTGAGACACAATTTTTTGTCACCTTTGGACTTGTGAAACAAAAGAAACAAGCCATCTGTTTTCAGTACATTCCAACCTAAAATGGTTCAACAGACATTAAAATTAACTGTAGACATTGTGGTTGGAAGTGAATGGCTGGGTATTTCCTCCTTTACTCTTTACTCTTTAACTGCAAAAATGATTATTTTTCTCTCCCTTTCAGATAAATCCTCTATTTTGGTGAACTGGTTTTTGTTTTTGTTTGTTTGTTTGTTTGTAGCTGGACTTATCTTCTCATATTCTACATTGATCTTTGTTTCTCAGCAGCCTTTTGTCCTGTTTTGGTTACAGATGTATATTAGATTTATGTAAAACTAAATTGACTTTCTATTTCTCCTTTACCTTGGCAATCTGGGTTAGTTTCTGAGGCAGACAAAATTATAACTATATTTACATTTTTCTATAATAAAACCTCAAATTTCATTCTTAAACTCAGAAGATAATATTTAAAAAGTGACAAGGTAAAGGTGGAAGGAAACAATATTCTCAGATGGCTTGTGGATCTAGGAGAAGTTCTACAAACACGATTAATAAACTAAAAATAAACAAAATAATGTAACACTATGCAAAATGTCTGCATCAATAATTTCTTTTAACAATTAAACAGGTTATAATACAATTAAATGTTCTTGAAAACTGATGTTGTTTTGCCAGTTCAAGGGATACAAATGTTCCACCATAATCAATAAAGAATAAGCACACTGCAGTTTGTTGTTGACAACTTGAACAGAGTTTATAGAAATCCATTTTAGTGAGAATGCTCTATAGAATTTTAACACATGAAGTTTTATTTTTCTCACATCTCGGAGTTTTAAAGAACTCCAGAAAGTGACTTTGGATAACTTTAAGAAGAAAAACCACTCTTGATTTAAGAACAGTATTTTGACTTGCACGTAGGTGAGAAGTCACAGGGATATAAAAGACAAACCTGTTATCTTTGTAGTCTCTAGACTGTTTGGAGAAAATGAAGCTCTAGAAATTAAAGAATGATTAATTTTAGTATTTAATAATAATATGGAAAATATGACTAGTCCTGTTCTTTTCATTTTCTTGTGTTGTTTAAAAGTGCTTCCATCTTACAATAATTTTTCCAGGAGAGAGACAGAGAGAAAGAGAATTAGAATAAATGTATTTTTATTTCAAAGATGGAAAAGAAAAGCAGAGAGTAATTAAAAGGTTCCATGGACTAGAATGGCATGAAGTCAAAACCAAAATTTGTCCAATGTTTTGGGAACAGTTAGAATAGTTGAAAGGGGCCAGGCATGGTGGCTCATGCCTGTAATCCCAGCAATTTGGGTAGCTGAGACAGGTGGATCACTTGAGGCCAGGAGTTCGAGAGAAGCCTGGCCAACATGGTGAAACCTAGTCTCTACTAAAAATACAAAGATTAGCTGGGTGTGGTGGTACACACCTGTAATGCCAGCTACTTGGGAGGTTGAGGCGGGAGAATCGCTTGAACTCCGGATGGGGAGGTTGCAGTGAGCTGAGATCACGCCAGTGCATTCCAGCCTGGAAGACAGAGTGAAACCCTGTCAAAAAAATTAAAAAATAAATAAAAAAAAAAAAATAAAATAAAATAAAAAGTTAAAAGGATGAAAAAGACAAGGCTCTAGTCTCCTGAGGATCCCAGAACGTGTCAGCAAAATCAAAATTGTCTTAGGGTGTGTGAGAGAGGTAGGAATTAACTGTATTTTCTCATGTTTCATTGCAAGAATAAGTACTTGATTATGAAGTTGATGAAATAAGAAATATGGGTTCATTCAGTATGTTCAAGGTTATTATTGGAATAAGAAAAAGAAATACATATATTGTAAGTTGCTAGATGGGAAAAGAATTCACAAAGTCAAGAAAGCATCATGTAATAAATATTTCAAAATCAGGTGGTTTTACAAGACAATAGGAATAACAATGAGGACATTAAGACTGTTGCTATATTCCTCTTCAATTTGTTGCCTTCACCTATTGTTTCTTAATGGCCAAAAACACTAAGCTGCTAGGAAAATTCTTGTATGAACAAGCGCAATATTTACTTCATATTATATCATTCTATTTTCAAGTACACATTAGTTATGTTAATAACTCTATTCGTTCATTTGATATCAAATTATAATGTTTTCTATTTCTTTTCTTACTTATTATTATCTTTGTTTTGCAAGTAATAAATAAGTGGCAGTCCCCTTAATACTTCTCCCAGTATTATTTCAACTCCCATAGAACACAACAATTAACAGTCCTTTTGGTATATTGTTTTGGGCAATTGTCTGTTTTCAGAAGCATTGTTGTTAAAACAAACTACCACAACCTTGGTGGCTGAAGCAACATATTTACTATCTTACAGTCCTGTACATCAGAGTTCAGACATGGGTCTCACTGGCTAAAATAAATATGTCAGCAGGGCTGATTCTGTTCTGGAGAGTACAGGGGATAATCTGTTTTCTTGCCTTTTTCACCTTCTGGCATCTGCTTGCATATCGTGACTCATGGCCCCCTTCTTCTATCTTCGAACCCAGAATTAGTGGGTCTAATTTTTCTCACACAACCATCTTCTCCAGTTAAACAAACAAAAACAGAGAAAGACCATTCTTCCACTTTTAAGGATTCCAGTGACTAGATTAGGCACACAGGATTATCTAGAATAATTCCTAGATTTCAGATTTATTTAATTAGCAATCTCAATTGTGTCTATGGCCTTAATTCTTGTTTACTATGTAAAATAATATAATAACAGATTCCAGGGATTAAGTCATGAGCATCTTTGGGGAACCATCATTCTACCTGCCACACTAGGTATACATAAACAATGTTTATTTGTTTTAGTTTTGTCCCAAAAAATCAGGTGTCACTATTTGAATTTCATATGTTTTGTTTCCCTTTAATAATAAATACATTTTGGAGGGGTTTCTATTATCAGTACACACAGATTTAATTCATTGTATTTCTAAACATAGTATTCCAGAGTATGGATATAGACTAATCTAATGAAACACCCCCTTCTACAACTGTTGCCATTATAAGCAACGATGAAAGATAAACCTTGTGTCTATGTATTTATGCACATATGCTACATCTATATGATAAATTCATAATTACAGAATTTCTTTGTCACTAACAAATTTCTACCTAAAATTGGTTAAAAATAGTAGTTAAGCTAATGATTTACAGAGTTCCCATATCCCTGGACATTTATAAAAGTAGTTAATAAAAAATCATTTAATATTTGTTCATTTGATGGTTTAAAAAAACATTGTATTGCTTAATTTGTTTTGGGCCTGATTACTAATGTACAGAGATTTCCATTTCTGTCTTCTATTAATATAAACACTTTATCATGTGTTTATTAACTATTTATATTCATTTTGGGGATATAACCATTTCAACCTTTGCTCGACTTAAAATTGAATGATTTTACATCACATTAATCATTTATTATAATTAATTCATTTCAGCTTATCTCTTGTATTATAATTTAAGTTATGGAGCAGTGTGCCATATGTAAGAATTTAATTTTTAGGTTGTTAATTTTGTCAGTCTTTACTTTTACACTTTCTGAGTTTTGTGTCGTTCTTAGGAAGTAATTTGTGTTTGTGTGTGTGTGTATACGTGTATTCACATGTGTGTCTGCTTTTTGTTAGTTTTGTTTTCCTACCTCAGAGTTAACAAGTATTGTCATATCATCTGATTGTTTTTGTTTTATTTTGTCTATTTTTTTTACTTTTCATGTTTTTTTTTTATTTAATACTTTAATTATGCTTATTCCCCTCAAATAGCCGTACCTACAGCATTATTTAGACATCTAACTTTTTGGAAACAATGACCAATTTCCTGAACCATGTCAGTCAGTTCTGCTATAATGCAACGTATGCATTTCTAAAAATCATTATGCTATGCAAAAATGGCCCAATAAAAGTCATGGGTCTTATTAGAAAAATGGGGTTGAAAGAAATATACTAAAAAACCTAATTAGCGACACAGAGAAAACAAAAATGTAGGAACACAATGAAACACAGTGGCATAGTTTTATCCATGTTAAATGGTTCACAAACATGAATTCTACAATTGATACGATACATTACTTAGAAAAGAGTTGAATTTTCTGGAGGTGAGTGTAGGAATGATTGCAGCTTATGTGTTATTGTGAAGTGATGGGAGGGGTGTCTCTGGAATCATATGGAAAGTTCTAATATTTAATGTGGATGGGTGTGGCTCATAGCACACATGAACTAAGGTATCTAAAAATTGAAATGCGTGAATATGTTTTCTGTATTTCTATGAGACTGTTCTGTGTGGTGCAGTTTGCTGCATTCATTTAATGCTTCTCTGGAAAGAAATAGCACATAAGCAATCAGGAAATTTGCATTATACTCAAATTGTTCTGTAATATGTCAATTGCATAGGAATGAAGGCCTTTTTGTAAAAGCACGTGTTGTGTAAGCACTGACTATAACTAGAAATGTGACCTGAATCATTGTTTATGCCTTTATGTATCCATGAGTCATTTTCTGTATTTTCTATTTACTTCCTCTGATCTATTTGTTTCCTGAACAAAGTTATATGTCCAGTTTTTATATTCAATGGTATCAATTTTCTATTTTCTTTTTAAGTATATTTTGACCTTTTCATATATTTTATTGTTAACATACATTTTGCAATTTTTATTTAAGTTCTACAAAGTCCTGGTGCACTCTCATTAAAAAAGCACTAAATATATAAAGTGAGAGGATATATTTTTGCAACATCATGATGCAGCTTCCCCAGCCCCTAAATTTCGTGGCATTTCTGACTTAATTCAGACTAGTAACCCTGAGATACCAGTGTCAGCTCTAGAGTTACCCTATCAGAGCACAATTCCATCTGGCTTTGGAAAATTTTCATTTATCTTTTGTCACCGTAATAGGTAGAACTAGGCCATTCTAGCACATTTCTGAGAAAATACTGTGAGTTGGGTGGAACGGGAGGACAATATATTCTTGTCGTCCATTTCCCACATTCCTAGGCAGTGAGTGAGGGTTTCTGAAGAGACCCCAACTTAGGGTACAATTTAGGGTCTGATAGTTGTTTTTTTTTAATCTTTGTTCCATGGCTTTAAAGTTAAAGACTCCAAAAATATTTTATTCCTTTTGAACTTAAACAAACATGAAATTATGATTAACAAAACAGAAAAAAGTACTATAATAAGGATAAAGGTAAGGCGGTAAGTTAGAACAGGAAATGGAACTACTAAATCGAGCAAATGTAATTAAAAAATAATACAGGAGATAGACAATTGTGCTAAGTTAAATAGTGGGTTTTATTTGATAAACAGAAAAGTGAAATAAACATGACAGATTGAAAGAATATTGTAAATCAATGTTTTGAGTGATGGATCGTCATATGTGTCTATTTTTTGGAACATGGAGTCATCCAGAATAATTAGAGGGTCATGAGTTTAGAGGAAAGTATTGAGATAGGAGTCTGAAGTAGCAGAATGGACTTAGTAGACTATACACGAGCTTGCATTGAAAGGCACTAAGACACAATACATTAAAGCCACTAGAGGGAGGCCTAGGCGGGCGGATAACGAGGTCAAGAGCTCCAGACCATCCTGGCTAACACGGTGAAACCCCGTCTCTACTAAAAATACAAAAAATTAGCCGGGCGTGGTGGCGGGCGTCTGTAGTCCCAGCTACTCGGGAGGCTGAGGCAGGAGAATGGCGTGAACCCGGGAGGCGGAGCTTGCAGTGAGCGAAATCGCTCCACTGCACTCCAGCCTGGATGACAGAGCGAGACTCCGTCTAAAAAAAAAAAAAAAGCCACTAGAGATGTATGTCGAATTATGCAAATATTATGAATATGAGGAAGAGAAAGGAGGATTTACTCATGTGAAAACATTAAGGAAGTAAATTCTGTCCAATACAAAGGCAAAGAGACCTCATAAAGGACTTGTGAAACTAAGGTATAAAAACTTATGTATTTTGTTAGAGTGAGACTTTGCCCCAAACTTCCTAGGCTCAAAGTCAGCTCCAATATATCCCAGCTGTCAAGATCTTAAGTAAGTTAGGTAACATCACTAGCCTGTGTTTTTTCATCTTTAAAATGGGTTAAAGATAATAATACTTCATAGATTATTGTGAGGTTTCAAAACAGAATCAACACAAATAAAACAGGAATATTTCTGATACATAGAATGTGATTCATAAATATTAATTAGTATTTTTATTTTGATTATCATTGTTGCTGCTGCTGTTGTCATAACCTCATTCTAAGGAAGAGGGCAACAATGTCCCTTCTCTGTATTAGTGATCCACATTCATTTAAACCTCTTTGTACACCTCTTCTATTATATTTATAACTTACTATAATACTTTTTGCAATTTTATCTCATCACTTCAAGTCACCTGCTATTAATGCAGAGCACACTGATACAATGAGAATAATACCTATTTACTCATAAAGTTATAAAGATGCTCATTTAAAAATATTTTTATCTAGTCAGTTTTCTTCAATCAGAGTTCACTGTTGCTTGACATCCTAAAACCTAAGGAAATTCTCTGGAGTTTCTTTCCATATTGAATATAAAGCTCTTATTTATTTAATTCAAACTCAGTTTATGCTCAAATATGCTTTAATAATAGACCTATGTAATTTTTCCCAAATTTAATTCTCCTTCATTTCTCTAGTATATTTAAATGAAACAAAACTTTTAGGGACTAGCTTAAATAAACAAACTTTCTCAAAGCTATTTATCATAAATGTGTTGAACAAATAAAAATCTTTGCTCTGGTTGAAATGCACTGTGGTAATCAGGATAACGTTAAACATGACTGTCACAATCACATTTAGATGACCTATCTTTGTTTTCTCTTCCCGTACTCCCTCTCTCTCAGATTATCCACATGAAAGCTTTCTTTGTATTCCAGTTAATCTTTTCCCCACCTGAATCGAAAATGCTACGTCTCCCATCACAACTGGCTTTTGAAAATAATAATAATAAAGTTACAAAGAAAGGATTAGGATAATAGGCTGAGAAAAAGAAACACACAGAAGAACCAGCAAGAATTAAAACTCCTGTTTATATTTGTGTGTTGGCAATAACAATCAGGAGACCAGCAAAAAAATAGATAGGAAACAGTTTAAGCAGAACACAGATAAATAAATAGAATGTTTTGAAAATTATATCCACATTGAATGCATTTGGAAATTTTCTATGGTGTGCCAACTTCTTTATAAAATATATATATATATATTTAGATTTTCCTCTTAGAATTTAATCACATTAAATTTATCCACCCTTCAGGGAATATTTTATACATTTAAAGTTTGCCATTGGAGTAATAAATAAAAGACATGTTAGATTCTCTACTCTATTTTTTAAAATGTATTCATTATGTCTTTTATTTATTGTTTATGACATGAAAACTACAAAAGTTGCATTCACGGAATTGTCTCACTTACATTAAAATTAATCAAATTCGGTAACAATTTTGTTCAGTTTTCATTGTGGGGGAAAATTTCCTGTATGTAAATGATGGTTTAATATAAATAAATGGGTAGAATATAATGGCATAAACATTATTTTTTGAAAGAGTTTTTGTTGAGTACGGAAGTGTTAAACTTATCCTGATTGGCTTTCAGTGGACATGGACAATTTTATTCAGAATCCAAACACTAAAACATTCCAAAATGGGTCAGAATTTTTACTGATATTGGAATCTCTCTATATATATCAGATGAGCAAATGAAAAATAGAATAGAATAAAATAGATGACTGTAGATCACAAACAAATGTAATATTAGGTGACAAAAATATCCTTTCCAGGGAAAGATACCATGTTTAACAAAACTTTTGAATTATAATATACATGTATGTGCTATTAGCCTTACTCCATTTGTACACACACATGTGCACACATACACATACATGCACACACACACATATCTGGCACAGATAGGAACTGGTTTAGAGGCAAGTAATTAGGAGTAAGAATAAATGTATGCTGCCTAACTATAGAAGATTTTACTGTGCTGTCCAATGGGATATATAATTGAGATAAGCATCCACTAAAAATTTTATAAGCTGTCTAAAAAAACTGCGTAATTTTGACTGGGGGGTCATTTCATGGGATGCATATGTATGTATATTTATCAAATTATATACTATAAATATTGGCATTTTATTAAGGTCTTTCTTAATAAAGCCCTTTTTTAAAAGAGTGAACAAAATAATGTCTAACAATGAACTTTATTCCAAGCTTGCCTAGTTATCAATCCAGTGGGAATAAATTCTGGTAAGCTCTTTCTCCATTTTATATAAAATGGCAGAAAGGGGGCAGATAAATTGGATTATAAACACATTTTAAGGAAATATTTCACTTGTTTTTAAGATGACTAATAATCTGCTAATTGGTTTTACTCTAAGGTGAGCAAATCATTTAATTAGTTAATTAATTCACACATTTATTTCACTTACAGATTCCTATCCTATGAGTGTTTATAAAGTAATAAATTGTTGTTTGTAGTTAGGTTGCCAAATCTTAGACTAGAAAAGTAAAAACTTAACCATGTTTAACCACATGGGACCCTAAGTATCAGGAATGGACAGGCTGAACCCCAACAGTAAGATGTTCAGAGAAGTAGTGAAAAATGAAAGAGTGGCCTAAACAGAAAATAATTTTAGAGTTTTATCTAAATCAGTCATGACTTCTGCTCCAGGTTAAGCTTACCTAATTTTACTCTAAAAGCCATATGATTAAGTGTGCCCAACAATAAAAGCAGAGTTTAGTCAAAAGGATTATTCCGCTATTCCATAACTGTATATCAAGTTAATGACAAATAAAATTCATTTGTTACATGCACTACTTTCCTTCCACCAGGCAAGGGAGACAGCATGGTGTAGAGGCTAAGAATGCAGTGACTGGAGCCAATTAGGCTGGGTTGGAAACCTGTATCATTGCTTACTAACTGGGTAAACTTGGGCAGGTCACTCAGCATCTCTGATAATAATATTGACTTAAGCCTAGGATTGTTACAAGAATAAATTGGTTAATATGTGTAAAGATCTTAGTACTAGACTCAGAATAAGTATCATATAAATATTACTGTTAATTATCACCATGAAAGCACAAGGCTTACTGAGATTATATGATTAACTTACTCTGCAGTGGAGAGGAGGAGGGTAAACAGAAGGAGATTTGACCAACAGCTGCTGCCAAGCTTTATGACTCGGAGGAGATAAGGGTTGTAGATGTATTTATTATCTTCTGTGGAAAGAAAAATGATCTTCTGTGGCAAAATTCAATCAAATCTACATTATCTAATTGAAGCACATCCAAGGGACACATTTTGTTTTTAATAGAAACATTAATCTGAAAGCAGGCTTAATTTTTTAAATCAAAAGAGATTTGTAACAGGGATATGGCAAACAAAATTTATTTTCCTTATGGAATGTAAAAATAGTGTACTGTAAAATAATCTTATTTTGATTTGCACTATAGCAAAAGACAACAAATGCAATTTGCTAATTCCATTTTTCCTCTAACACTAAAATAGGTAATCATAAATTGTATAGTATTGAATTTGGCCAAGGTCGGTCAAAGCTCACATAGTCTTCTGATATTTTAATTTCCTAGGTGAAATGGTAAGTTTTCCTTTTTTAGAAAAATATATCTCCCATGACTCTCTATTTGGTAAAAGTTTATATATTTCTTATTATATATTTATCTTATAAATAATGAATAATACACCCATATCTCTAACATAGGGGGCTGATTTTAACTAAAACTTCTTTCAGAACTCAACTAAATTATTTTGGAACTAAAGACTGTTCAAATTTCAATTTATATTTGTTTGATTTATTCATTTTATTCAACTATTACTCACATCATACCCAAATTGGTATTTTCTGAAGTAGTCACATTTCCAACAAATGAAATCTACTTCATGGCAAACGATTTTTATCATAGGCTGAAATCATAAATACATTTGGTAAAGAAACAAATTACGAAGAAAACTTGCAATTTCACTATCAAACAAAAAAAAATCTAACATATAGGCTCCTGTCAATATTTTTCTTTCATATCACACTGAAGTTTATTGTTTTGTTTAAAGCAGACATGCTAATTAAAAAATATTTTCTAACATAACAGTTTTACATTTTCAGAGAAGAATTACTTTATGACCAAAATTGTAGAGGTATGATTAACCTTAAAACATTTTAATACATATAAATGAATATTTTACACTTTGTATAAACCAATTTGAAAGTAGCATTGAAAAGCTTTTTGTTGTAATTTTTAGTTGAGGTATAATTTATATAATGTAAAATGCACAGAACTTAAGTGTTCACATTCACGAGGTTTGACAACTGTATTCCTCCAAATAGCTACCAACCAACACAAAATATAGAATATTTCCATCACCCAAAATGTTTCATCATTCCTCTTACCAGTCAATCTGAAGTACCACTCTCAGTGGTAGCTCCTTTATCTCAATATAATGTTTTTAAGATTTGTTCATTTTTTTGCCTGTATCAATAACTCATTTGTATTTCTGGATAGTATTCCATTGCAGGATATGTAACAATTTGATCTTTATTAATCTGTTGATGAACATTTGAGTTGCTCACAGTGTGCAGCTATTATGAATTAGGGTGCTAGAAATTTTCCTGTATAAGACTGTGGAAACCCATTTTGTTATTTTCATTTTTAAAATGCCTAGATTATGTTGTAACTGTAAATTAATATTAAGAATGAGTTAAACAATTATTAAAGTGCTACTATTTAACAATTCTACCAGCAGTGTGTGGGAGATGCAGTTTCACATTCTTGCCAGCACATTTTATTGTCAATTTGAAACATATATCAATATAATTAATTTTAGTATAAAAATAAATAATCTAAAATACTTAAAAATCAACCAAAATTTTGTAGAGTTAATTCTCATTATATGTAGCTTTAAAATATATTTTCAAGTAATATTATTATTAACCCTTATATATTAGTATTTTAATAATATCTTAGTATTAGCTAAACATTATTCTTTCTTCTCCTCAAAAGCTTTATTCATTAGAGGATATGATGCTCATCTTGAATTAAATTTTGGCAATTTTCACCATGTCTTTTTCTATCAAAAATATTTTACATTTGGTTATTTATTACATCTATTAATAATGAATAGATAATTGAATAATAAATGCAATCATTAGCTTACATTAGATACAGGAGATTCATGATAGTGCTGCTTAAATATTTCTCAAGAAATTAAAATTAAACTGCATCTTAATTATATTATATAATAATATTATTTCAGAATATTACAAGTAAATTTTTAGAGATCAAGTCATACAGCTGGATATTTAGGATCCTAAACATACTTTCATTGTTAAAGATATTCTTCAATATTATTAGAGGGTCAATTTGATTAAATAATAATTAAGGCATATCGTGTGTAATATCTATTTGAGCTGATCTCAATTACTTCACCACTATTATACATGCAATAGGAGAAATAAACACCACATGTGTCTTTCTGTAAGTGGCAGGAAAGGGGAAAAATATGAAATAAGATGAACAGAGGCTTAAGAAGCCTATTATTATTTACAAACCAAGCTTTTGTGTCTAACATAGGATTATTAGTCAATTTAGAGCTGGCCAAAAACTTGAAATAGATATAAAAATGTCCTCTTTGTTATTTTAAAAGCAATGCACCCCTCCAAAATAATCTCTTTTCCATTTTAATATTCTTACGTTTTAAAGATTAAAGTAGTATTTGTCCTGCTCCCCACCATCAGATTGGCCTCTCCCATGGGTATACTATCTAATTCTACCTTTTTCTCCATCAAATTTGTACTCTACCTTTAGGATTCATCTCCTTAAGCCACATATCTTACGTTAATCCTTCCCCAAAGTAAGGTTCCATCTCTCTCCTCTAAATGTGTATAACATACCTTTCTATAATATATTTAATTCATTTTGCTGCCTTTTAGTATTTACCATCAATTTATTTATATTTACCTTGTTACCCCATATTTTTTGTTATTCTCTTTGTATGCCTTGTAGTAATTAGCTCAGGGCCTTACATGTGTGGGTAAAAACACACTCATTTTGTTAAGAAAATATAGACCAATTAAACCCACTTTTGCTCTGAAAAGACAAAACAGAAACATTCCTTGAGAGACATGTTAAAACCAGCTTTGGGCATGTCTATATGTAGAAAATAGAGAGCCAGAAGAAAAAGATTTAAAGGGCAGATGAAAGTGCAAATGATATTTAGACGATTGCCAGAATGAAACTTGAAAAACTGACAAGTTCTAATGGAGAATTTTGCTAAAACAAGAGTTCTGTAATAATCAGACGTACTCGAAATATAGAACAGGTAGTCTCACTGTACTAAAAACAATTGGAATTCAGGGGACACTTTTTAAAAATTAAAACCACTTAACAATGAGAACACATGGACACAGGAAGGGGAACATCACACTCTGGGGACTGTTGTGCGGTGGGGGGAGGGGGGAGGGATAACATTAGGAGTTACACCTAATGCTAAATGACAAGTTAATGGGTGCAGTACACCAACATGGCACATGTATACATATGTAACAAACCTGCACATTGTGCACATGTACCCTAAAACTTAAAGTATAATAATAATAAAATAAAATAAAAATAAAAAAATAAACACATTCAATAAAGCCAAGTGAAATCTTTGGCTCACAGTAAAAAAAAAAAAAAAAAATTAAAACCACTAAAGAAAACAATTATAAATTGAATTGACGTTTCTGAGTTAAAATTTTCAGGTTAGCATTATTGTGCTGCCTAGATTTCTTAATTCTCGTTAAGGAAGAAAATTGTTCTCAAACTACTCTCCAGATCTGAGGACATTTATTTATATGTAGGATTGTCATATAAATTTAGACCACATGAGGACCTCTAAATATGATTTAGCTATCTCAAGGAATCAGTAGATAATTATTCTATATCAGCCAATATCCATGTTCTAAACATATAAAGAGAAAGCCTACCATGACATTAAAAAAATTATTTTGTTTTACCTGCTTAATGCTATTTACTATAGAAAACAATATGATGTAAACGTGTTTTATGGGTATTCCAGCCATAAGCATTCAGATATTAAAGAACCTAATTTTAGGACAATTTTACTTACTGGATCTTGCTGGCAGTACTCTAGGGAGGCTTTGACCTATAGAATTTTACAAAATATAAAGTTTTTTATCTCATAAATTAATCTCCTTTCAGGAAGAAACAACTTTTCATATCATGGATAAAGAGAAACATTTATTTTCATGAGTGTGTTAGGGTTCTCCAGAGAAACAGAACCAGTAGGAGATATGTGATTATAGAGGCTCAGTCCTAAAAGCTGCCATTTACCAGCTGAAGAACCAGGAAGGCCAGTGGAAGTCCTGATATTCTGAGAGGCAATGCTGGAGATCCCAGTCCCAGACTGAAGGCCTGAGAACCAGGAGCACTGAGGGCAGTAGAATATAATCGCCCTAGCTCAGCTGGTCAGGCAGAGAAGGAATTCCTCCATCCTTCTTTGTACTATTCATTGTCTTTGGAAACACTCTCACAGGCACATTCAGAAACTATGTTTAACCAGCTATCTGATTATCCATTGCCCCGGTCAAGCTGACACGTGAAATTAACCATCACAATGTTTCCAAGGGGATGCTAACCATGGTATGTGTGTGTATGTGTGTGTATATATATATATGTATATAAAGAGCTCTCTTGTCCTCAAGCTTTAGAATCAAGCCACCTTGTTTATCTTATCAACATTTGTCTTGATATCATTTATTAACACAGTCAAAGTGTCCACAAGTCATTCATGTTGGTTTCAGAATTACAGTATTAGATTTAGCTAGAGATCCCTAATCAATGTATTAAGTATTTAACTATCCTGCCCCACTTCCACTCCCTCCAAATAGGTCATGAAACAGGTCTCTCCCATATATGACAAAAACTTATGAACCAGTTCAATGAACAAATCATCAATGTGTTCCATCCAAATTTACAAACTTTATTTCAATGAATTCCTTGTTATTACTGACTGAGCTATTTGACATTAAAATTTTTTCCTGAGAATACCTCTGTCATATAAATGAAAACTGATTATCTAAGTCAGGATGCACACCCACACACAGACATGCACGTGCACACATACATGCACTCTCATTAAAGGTAAACTATACATTTAATATGCTTGTATCAATATGTAATTTTACATCTTAATTGCATAAATCAATAAAATATATAAATATAATATAATATATAAATGTAAACTCAGTTTTGACCACCATTGTCCTTGAAAGTTATTTACAGGTAAAACAACAGCTACCAGTTTCAATTTTATAGTCTTAATTAATTGCCTACCATTTTAACCTATTTGATCTTTTGATTTCCTTTTTTTTTTTTTTTTTAAAACAGAGTCTCACTCTGTCACTCAGACAGGAGTACAGTGGTGCGATCTCAGCTCACTGCAACCTCTGCTTCCTGGGTTCAAGCGATTCTTCGGCCTCAGCCTTCTGAGTAGCTGGGACTACAGGCATGCACCACCATGCCTGGCTAATTTTTGTATTTTTAGTAGAGATGGGGTTTCATCATGTTGGCCAAGCTGATATCGAACTCCTGACCTCAGGGGATCTGCCCACCTCAGCCTCCCAAAGTGCTGGGATTATAGGCTTCAGCCACCACACCCAGCCCTTTTGATTTACTTTTGTCTTAAGTGTCATTGTCAACTATGTGCCTCAGAAATTTTACAGCCTTTCTCTGAATTGATGCCTTGATAAATAACATGTCTACTGCATCATTCCTGACCTTTCTGTAAATTTTTATAATAACTCATTCTTCTGCACTCTATTCTGTGGAATATTATAGCATAGAGGCTAAGAGTTCAGGCTCTGAAATCAGAATTCATGTAATGAAACCTCAGATTCATCTATTTAGTACCTCTATGATTCTGCCATAAAATGTAAGAGCACAATAAAAAACAGAATAAAGGAAGAAATTAATAAACATATGCAAGAGAGTAAGAGATGATCACATGATCTTTAAAGAAAATGTGTTAGTGGTAGTTCTCCACCAGAATATTTTATTCGCTAATTTTCATATGCTTGTTTCATATTCTGTTGTGTAGCTAATTAAATTATTGAAAGAAATGATTGACATTTCTATCTCACTCTGAATTTTCACCAGTAACTGTTCTTTCTCAGAGAAAGAAATATTAGTACCTAATCTAAATTAAAATTATCAGCCTAAACTTTTAAAATTTAAGTAGATTTTGAAATCAGTTTTAAAATATAGCAATTTGGCTTTCATTTCTCAACTACAAATTGAACCTTTTACATTATATCTTGAACATGAAATTCTGTAGGGCTGCTATTAATTCAGATTGGTTACCTTGGAAACAGGAGCTTTTTCTTTTTAACCCATCACTAGTGTCATTCATGTTTTTAAAATAAAAAAATTAAGATGGAATTTAAAAAAGGTAAACTATGTTTTTTCCCATTTTCCATTTAGGAGACTAGGTAAAGAATAATATATAGCAGCAAAATAACGTTCATTAATAAAAAATATAGCTGGTTATAAATGACATCTGTCATCTACCTCTGGGGCTCCAATAATACAATCTTCTTGATACATCTCAATTATTCCTAAAATCTCAAGAAGACAATACCTTTTTTTGGTAAAAAAAAAAAAAAAGGCACAGCATACATTGCTATGCTGTAGCTGTAGCAATGTAGCTACATTGTATGCACAAAGTAGCTAATGTATGCACTGTAAAATCAAAAATGCATACTAATATGCACTGGCAAACTTGAAAAGTGTATGTACTATATGCACTTTGCTAATGGAACTGAACCTAAGTACAAACAAAATGCCTATGATAGTATTACCGAATGTATACCGAATAGTATTACCGAATGTGCAGTTCCACATTAACCACTACCATTAAAAATCTTTGAATAGTAGTTAACAATTAGGAAGAAACAAATGAGTTTATTTTTCACCACAGATTTTAAGTAGCCATTTCAGTGGTAAATACTAGATGCAAACTGGTTGCCACTTGACCCAAATATGATAAAATAAAATCCCTGGAGATATTACGTCAAAAAATGAATAAATTAAAGTTATTATTATTGCCCATTTATACTTAAAAAGGTAAGTTTGTTAAAGTAAAAAAGCAAAATCACTAGAGTTTACTAAAATTTTAGGTGTTTTAAGTTGATTTACCTGTAAAGTACATTACTAAGCATACTACTATATATAAATTATTTAATAAAATGGCAAATCTTTATAGTTAACAAACAGAAGCCAATATTTGGTGTCAGAAACTGTAATTCACTGTCAACTTTCTTACAAACAAACGTGAGTCCTTGGGAAATGGCTTTTAAGCTTGCTAACATTAAATTTTGTTTTTATAATTTATGGGAATAAGCCCTACCAAATAAAATTATTGTTTTATATGGAATTTGGTAATATATGTAAAAAAGATATTGTAGAAAAATTAGGTTCAAACAAAACCTGCACGCAGATGTTTATTACAGCTTTATTCATAAATGTCAAAACTTGGAGGCAACCAACAGGCCCTGCAGTATGTGAATGGATAAACACACTATACTCTGTCCAGACAATGGAATACTATTCAGCACTAAATTGAAATGAGCTATCAAGCCATGAAAAGACATGAAGAAACTTAAATGCATAGTGAACAAAGCCAATCTGAAAGGCTACATACTGTATGATTCCAACTATATGAAATTCTGGAAAAGGCAAAACTGTGGAGAGAATATAAAGTCTAGTGGTTTCCAGGGGTTAGGAAGAGAATGGGTGAAAAGGGGCACACAGGATTATTAGGCTGATGAAACTACTCTGTGTGATACTGTAATGGCAGATACACGTTGCTGTACATTTGCCCAAATCTATGAAATGTACAATACCAAGAGTGAACCTTAGTGTAGACTTTGAGTGATAATGATTCATTCATGTAAGTTTATCAGTTGTAATCAACGTACCACTCTGATAGGGGATGTGGAGAGTAGGGAAATCTATGCATGTGTCGGGGCAGGGGCTATATGGGAATTAACTATACATATCCCTCAGTTTTGCTATGAACTTAAAATTGCTATAAGAAATAAAGTCTATCAAAAATATATTGTACAATATGAAAAATATACATGTAAGCAAATGTAAAATTATACATATATCTGCTGTCAAGGGTCACTAGTTTATATAAATAATTTCAGTGATGTGACACTCAGAAAGATATTGATTAAAATCTTCATTAATATCAGCAAGCTGTTAGGAGATCATCTGTTCTTATGTCCCCACAACAATAATAATTCTGTACACATCTACAGCTAAGACTCTGTGAAAATCTTCAGATGTGGCAGGAGGTTGTGAAATGGAGCCCAAGACCTAGGAGAGTCATTTTGAGAGTGCCAGTGCATACTTAAGTGGCAAACCTGCCAGTCATGCTCTGGGGTTCAAACTTGGCCATTGACCTCTTTGGTCTTGAGCCTGTGACTGAAACCATGTGCCAGGGGGTCCAAGATAAATTTTGCTCACCAGAGCCTTGGCAATCTGGTCTGCCCACTGACATCAGTCTTAGCAGTGGATCAAAAAGTTACCCTGTACTGAAATAAGAGATTGATGCCCACTTTCACCACTTCTATTTAACATAGTACTGGAAGTGCTAGCCAGAGAAATCAAGCAAGAAAAAGAAATAAAAGGCATCTGAATAGGAAAAGAATAAATAAAACTATTACTACTTATGGATGATATGATTCTGTACCTAGAAAATCCAAAAGACTTCACCAAAAGGCTCCTGGAACTGATAAACAATTTCAGTAAAGTTTTGGGATACAAAAATCAATGTACAAAAATTAGTAGTATTTCCATTTACCAATAATGTTCAAGCTAAGAGCTAAAACAAGAGTGCAATTGCATTAAAAATAGCCACACACACATACACACACACACACAATAAAATATGTAGGGGTACAACTAACCAAAGAGGTGAAAGATCTCTACAAATAAAATTACAAAACATTGCTGTAAAAAATTAGAGATGACACAAACAAATGGAAAAATATTCCATGCCCATGGATTGAAAGAATCAATATTGTTAAAGATGGCCATACTGCCCAAAGCAATCTACAAATTCAGTGCTACTCCTATCAAACACCAAAATCATTTTTCACAGAACTGGAAAAAAAAAGTTATTCTAAAATTTATGTGGAACCAAACAACAGCCTGAATAGACAAGGCACTCCTAAGCAAAAAGAACAAAGCTGGAGGCTCCTGTTACCTGACCTCAAACTGTAAGATAAGGCTACAGTAACTGAAACAGCAAGGGACAGGTACAAAAACAGACACATAATCAAATGGAACAAAATAGAAAATCCGGGAATAAAGCAGCACATCTTCAGCCATCTGGTCTTCAACAAAGTCAATAAAAAATAATAAATAAGGAAAAGGCTCCCTATTAAATAAATGATGCTTGGATTACTGCCTAGCTATATGCAGAAGAATGAAACTGGACCTCTACCTTTCACCATATATAAAAATCAAGATGGATTAAGATTTAAATGTAAGAACTCACACTATGAAGATTCAAGAAGAAAAACTAAAAAACACCATTCTGGAAATTGGCCTTAGAAAAAAAATTATGAATAAGTTCTCAAAAGCAATTGCAACGAAAACAAAAATGGACAGGTGAGAACTAATGAAACTAAAGAGCTTCTGCACAGCAAAATAAACTGTCAACAGATTAAACAGACATTATACAGCATGGGAGAAAATATTCACAAAGTATGCATTTGACAAGGTCTAATATCCAGGATCTGTAAGGAACTTAAATAATTTGACATGTAAAAATCAAATAAACTAACTTAAAATGGGCAAAAGACATGAACAGACACTTCTCAAAAGAAGACAATACAAGCAGCCAGCAAACATGTGAGAAAAGTTTCATATCACTCATCATTAGAGAAATGCAAATCAAAACTACAACGAGATACCATTTCACACCAGTCAGAATGACTGTTAAAATGTCAAAGAAACAACAGATGTTGGCAAGGCTGCAGAGAAAGAGAAATGCTTACACACTGTTGGTGGAAATAGAAATTAGTTCAGCCACTGTGGAAAGCAGTTTATAGTTTTCTCAAGGAACTTAAAACACAACTACCATTCAAACCAGCAATCCCATTACTGGGTATGCATCTAAAAAACAAACAAAAATATGTGTTCTACCAAAAAGACACAGACACTTATATATTCATTGCAGCACTATTCAGAGTAGCGAAGACATGGAATCAACCAATATTCCCATCAACAGTGGACTGGGTAAAGAGAATGTGGTACTTATACACCATGAGATACTACACAACCATAAATAAGAATGAAATCACATCCTTTGCAGCAACATGGATGCAGCTGGAGGCCATTATCCTAAGTTATTTAACACAGGAACAGAAAAGCAATTACCACATGTTCTCACTTATAAGTGAGATCTAAACATTGGGTACTCCTGAACATAAAGATGGCAATAAGAGACACTAGGCTACTAGAAGTACTACTAGAGGGGAGAAGGACGAAGGGAGTCAAGATTTGAAAACATTAACTGTTGAGTACTATGCTCACCACTTAGGTGACAAGATCATTAGTACCCCAAACCTTAGCATCACGCATTATACCCAGGTAAAAAAACCTGCACATGTATCCCTTGAATGTAAAATGAAAGCTGAAAAAAAAGAATGTATGCTTATAGACAAGCAGCTTATAATGCAATGCACATTTAAATCAGTAATTGCTAAATTTATTTTTAAAGTGTTGACATTGAACATAAAAATAAATAATAATAAAATTAAATTAAAAATAGAAAAAAAAACAAAAATGGAGATATAATAATTTCCACCACAGAAATATACAAGGTCATCTGAGGCTACTACGAATGAACACCTCTATGCACACAAAACAGAAATCTAGAGGAAATGAATAAATTTAATATAACACACAATCCCCCAAGCTTGAATTAGGAAGAAATAGAAATCCTTAAACAGACCAATAACGATTGAGATTGAATCAGTAATAAAATTTTTTTAACAAAAAAACCCAGTACCAGACAGTGTCACAGCTGAATTCGATGAAGGTAATATTACCCTGATACCCAAACCAGGAAAGTCTCCACCACAAAGCAAACTAGAAATCAGCATCTCTTATGAATATAGATGTAAAAATTCTCAACAAAATTCTAGCAAACTGAATCCAACAGCACATCTAAAAGATAATTCACCATGATCAAGTAGGTTTCATCCAAGGGATGTAAGCATTGTTCAACATATGCAATCAATAAATATAATTCACCACATAACATAAACATAATTAAAAACAAAATGTATGATTTTAATAGGTGCAAAAAAAGCATTTGTTAAATCTAGCATTGTTTTATATAAAAACCCTAAATAAACTGTGCATAGAAAGACTATTCCTCAAAATAATAAAAGCCATGTTTGAGAAATCCATACTGAATGGGGAAAATTTGAAGGCATTACCACAACTGGAACAAGTCAAGGATGAGCATTTTCACCACTTCTATTCAACATATAGTGGAAATCCTAGCCAAAGCAACCAGTCAAGAGAAAAATAAAAGGCACCTCAATTGGAAAAGAGCAAGTCAAATTACCTCTTGTGGCTGATGACATGATCTTATATCAAGAAAATCCTAAAGACTCCTCCCAAAGACTTGTAGCTTTGATAAATAAATTCAGTAAAGTCTCAGGTTACAAAACCAATTTATGCAAATTAGTAGCACTGCTGTATATCAATAATGATCAAGCCGAGAATCAAAGAAAAAACTCAGTCTTATTTACAGTATCCACAAAAAATAATACCCAGGTATTTTATCTAACTTCAAGTTATATTACAAGGCTATAGTAACCAAAACAGCATGGCACTTGTATAAAAGTAGACACACAGACAAAAAGAACATAATATAGAACTCAGAAATAAAGCCAAATACCTAAAACCAACTGATCTTCATCAATCAAACAAAAGCATACACTGGGGAAAGAACTTCCTATTCAATAAATGGTGGTGGGAAAATTGTATAATCACATGTAGAAGAATGAACAGGAGCCCTGTATTTCATGATATACAAAAATTAACTCAAGATATATTAAAGACTTAAATCTAAGACCTGTAACCGTAAAAATCCTAGAAGAAAATCTAACATAAATTCTTGTGGAATTTGGTCTAGGCAAAGAATTTATAACTAAGACTTCAAAAGCAAATGCAACAAAATAAAAATAAATAAATAGGACCTAATTAAACTAAAAAAAAAACCTTCTGCACAGCAAAAGAAATAATCAA
This sequence comes from Homo sapiens, assembly GCF_000001405.40. Taxonomy (NCBI): domain Eukaryota; kingdom Metazoa; phylum Chordata; class Mammalia; order Primates; family Hominidae; genus Homo; species Homo sapiens. Next base: position 102,865,912 of record NC_000006.12, read on the forward strand.
CAGAGTAAACAGACAACCTACAGAACAGGAGAAAATATTTGCGAAATATGCGTCTGACAAAGGTCTATCAGGAACTTAAACCAATTTACAAGGAAAAAACAACCCTATTAAAAAGTGGGCAAAATACATGAACAGACATTTCTCAAAAGATATGGCCAATAAACATATGAAAAAAAATGCTCAACATCACTCATCATTGGAGAAATGCAAATTAAATATACAGTGAGATAACACCCTACTCCAGCCAGAATGGCAATTATTAAAAAGTTAAAAAAACAATACCTGTTGGTGTGAATGTGATGGAAAGGGAACATTTATACTTTGTTGGTAGAAATGTAAATGAGTACAACCTTTATAGAAAAAACAGTATGGAGATTTCACAAAAAACTAAAAGTAGATCTACCATTTGACCTAGCAATCTTACTACTGGTATCTATGCAAAGGAAAACAAGTCATTATATCCAAAAGACACCTGTATACTATATATACGTTTATCACAGCACAATTCACAATTCCAAAGACATGGAATTCATCAGTGCCCAACTACTGATGAATGGATAAAGAAAATGTGATATATTTATACCATGCAATATGACTCAGCCATTAAAAAAGAATGAAATTATGTCTTTTGCAGGAATTCTGATGGGACTGGAGGCCATTGTCCTAAGTGAAGTAACTGGGGAATGGAAAACCAAATACTACATGTTCTCACTTACTAGTGGCAGCTAAGCTATGGATACACAAAGTCAAACAGAATGGTATAATGAACATTGGAGACTCAAAAGGGGAAAGGTTGGGAAGGAAAGTGAGAGTTGAAAAATTATGTTGGATACAATGTACACTATTCAGCTGATGGGTACCCTAAAAACCCAGACTTCACCACTATACAAGTCATCCATGTAACCAAAAACCACTTGTACCCTAAAAAGTGTAGAGATAAAAAATAAAATACAAAAGTTACCCTGTAACTGGGCTCCAGTCGCTCTAGCTGTTGTGCTTAGTATTACTCACGCAAGGATCCAAAGGGAGACTTGCCTATCTGAGCATTTGTGAAAGGCTTGTCATTCTCCATCCCACAGAGGGATTCGGAAGGGCCCTGTCTTGGATCCAGCCCCTCTCTCACAGCCACCAAGCTATCCTGCCTATACACAAAACTGCTAGGAGACGCATCTTTTTGTGCCAACTGCAAAACCTTGCCAGCTTCTATTTCAAAGCTGATCCTAAAGGGGCAGTCTCACTAGGCTGCAGCCCCTTTCTGCCACAGCCCAGGAGTTGCCAGGCCTGTTTAAGAAACTCCTGAGAGAGATTCCTGGACAGGCTCGCATGTGTCTGTCTCACAGAAGTTCCAAAAAAAAAAAAAATCTGAATGTCAGCTCCAGCCTCTCTCAGCTGCAGTATGTAAGGAATGCTGCCCACATAGAGAAGCATTGGGAGTCTTTTCTATTGGTGCCACCATGTTGGGCTTCCAACATCAGTCTGACTGAAGATTCTGAATTAGCACTGAAACTCAATTTTCACCTCTCCCAGCTATGGTTTGGGGGCAGTTCTACCCAGTCAGGGTCCTGCCAGGAAGCTTGCCCATCTGAGTCTCTGTAGCAGGCTTGCTAACCTCTGGTCCTCAGTGGCTCTCGAAACAGGCCTAGATCTTGGTTCTGTCCCCTCTTGTCTATAGACTGAGAGTAGTTCTGCCTGCCTGAGTACCTGGAGGGAAGCACATCCAGTAGTGGCCCTGCAGGCTGATGTCCTGACCTCAGTCACATGGTGGATCTTGAATAGCAATAGCCATATAAGTTTTTTTTTTTTTTTTTTTTTTTTTTTGAGATGGAGTCTCACTCTATCACCAGGCTAGAGTGCTGTGGCTCGATCTTGGCTCACTCCAACCTCCACCTCCCAGGTTCAAGTGATTCTTCCGCCTCAGCCTCCCAAGTAGCTGGGACTACAGGCAAGCGCCACCATGTCCAGCTAATTTTTTTTGTATTTTTAGTAGAGACGGGGTTTCACTGTGTTAGCCAGGATGTCTTGATCTCCTGACCACGTGATCCGCCCGCCTTGGCCTCCCAAAGTGCTGGGATTACAAGCGTGAGCCACTGCGCCCGGCCTGTTTTTAGCCCTTCTCAACCCCACTCTGAGAGCAGGCCTGCTCACTCACTAACCCAACAGGAGACACACCTATTTATCACTCCAAAGACAGGCCTAAAGATCTTGGTCTTGGGAGCAGGCATAAAACTCTCAATTCCAGCCCATCTTAGCCACAGACTCAAGCAGTACTGCCAGCCCAGGGACCCATCTAGTGATTCAACAGGAGCCCTTTCAGGAAGCAACAGCCATCAGCATACCTAGTATGAGGCCTCCTATCTGTGAATGCTTGGGATGATTCTCATCTCAGTGCCAGCCCCACAGATCAATGTCCTAGTGACAGTCCAGTCCACCTAGAAACCAACCAGCACCCACATCCACTAAAGCCCCTGGAAGTAAGCCTGCTAGCTGCTTTCTCCATTGTTGACTCAGCATCAGCCTCAGGACTTCAATCCAATTCCATTCAACTGTAATCCTTGAGACAATATCATCAGCCAACAGATCTAACAGGGCAATATTTTAACTTATCAAAAACAGTCTGTAAGATTGAAAGAGGGATTTGCTCATTTAAATGAAAATATACTAATGCAAGGATATAAAGAATAACAAAAAATATAAAGATAACAAAGAATCAAGTAAAGGTGACACTGCCAAAGGAATCTTGTAAAGTTCCATTGACCCCCAAAAAAATAAAAATGTAAGAAATGCCTGAAAAGTTTAGCCTAAAGCTGCCTCCTTACATATTTTAAGTTAGACCTAAAGGTTTCTCGCTACATAGTGAACTGTAACTTACCTTTCTGCCAATCACTGAGTTTCAGGCCAATCAGAGGTGTCCAACAGTTCAAACCGTGTTCGAATAAGGCAAATGCCAGAGCTGTAACCATGGCAGTTTCTGTGCCTCATGTCCATTATCTGTATGTCACTTTTCTTTCTCTGTCTGTAAATCTTTGACCACATGGAATCATGGCACTCTCTGAACTTATTCTGGCTCTGGGGCTGCCAGGTTTGCCATTCATTCTTCAGTCAATTAATCTGTTAAATTTGTCTAAGGAATTTCTTGTAACAAATCTTTAGTGATCTGTCGCATAGAATAGTGACAATAATAAATAATAATGCATTGTATATTTCAAACTTGCTGAAAGAGTAAATTTCAAATGTTTTCACCACCAAAAATGATAAGCATATGAGGTGAAATATTTGTTAATAGCTTGATTTAATCATTCCACATTATAAACATACATCAAAACATCATACTGCACTCCACATTAACAAGTAGCATTTGCCATGAAAGTAAAATTAAATGATAATACAAAAGCAGCTTCAAATATAGAACTTTTATTGATTGATTAAAATTAACCATTTAATTATAAAATTCCAGTATGTACATCATTTGAATCCCTGTATTTTTAATTATCAAAAGGTAATATTTTCTGATATAAATTTGAGTGGGAATAAGAATGTTAATTTAGTTTATGCATACTTCATTTGTTATAGGGCCTGATGTGCTATTATATTTTATTAATTAACATTTATTACTGTAATTATGGAGACACAAAGGTAAATGTAAATTAATTGCATGACAATATATTTATTAGCAAAGCATAAAGTGTATATATTTTTTATTTCCTATATAACAAAATCTATTGCATTCATCAAAGTCCAATAAAATTCCATTTACAAATGTACTTATTATGTTTCCAAAAGCAAAACTGATTGTTTGAAAACATTTTGGCTAGAAAATGATTCTATCAATCGTGTTGAAGTCCCTATGGCTATCAACAAAATTACTATAAATATTATATAATTTATTTATGTTATGGAGCTAACAATCATTTATAAGGTTACTTCTACTGCAAAATAAATTCTGAGTTGCAGCACAGATTGTAGATGATTCATTTCACTTTGCCTCAGCAAATGGAGGGGAGGTAGAGACAGTTATTTTGTAGCTACAATATTTAGAGATTTCCAAATGAGGTATAAGTCACAGAAATGTAAGTCATTCAGAACTCAATGTATTCATCATTTAGAGTTACTATGAGTAGAAAAACTACTAAGCTAAATTGAAGCTGTTATATATATATATATATGTATATATATATGACCTATAATATATATGAATGCTAATTTATTATTTATTTGAGGCAAAGATACATATAACACAGGTATGCATAAAAATCTCATTGTTAATGAGGAAAAATCAATAATATAAAACAGCAATTTGGATTTCTATAGTGTGGTAAAGTAATTATTCTTTAAAGTTCCTTCTACAAACAAATAAATACATATGTAAATAAAGAAGGACAGCGGGAGAGAGAGAGAAATCTATTAAGGTTCTGTGATGGTTAATACTGAGTGCCAATTTGACTGGATTGAAGGATGAAAAGTATTGATTCTGGCTATTTCTGTGAGGATGCTGCCAAAGGAGATTAACATTTGTTTGGGGACCTTTTGATCATGTGAGTTAATACTTAATAATGTATATGTATATATACATACACATATACATATATATGAAGGAGAGAATCAAACAAAGGCAACACTACCAAAGGAACCTCATAAGTTCCACTGACCACGAAAGAAATAAAAATGTAAGAAATGCATGAAAAGTTTAGCCTAAAGCTACATATATATACACATATATATACATGCATATGTGTATATATAATATAGACACATATATGTATGTATACATATACATATACATATGCATATGTATACATACATATGTCTCAAAACAAAAGGTTTAGTATATATGTATATATACATATATCTCAAAACAAATGTTATTCTCCTTTGGCAACATCCTCACAGACACAGCCAGGATCAACACTTTGCATCCTCCAATCCAGTCAAGTTGGCACTCAGTATTAACCATCACAGAACCTTAATAGATTTCTCCTTCTCTCTCCCGCTGTCCTTCTTTATTTACATATGTATTTATTTGTTTGTAGAAGGAACTTTTTAAAGAATAATTACTTCACCACACACACACACACACACACACACACACACACACACACACAAGGATATATATATATCCTATTAGTTCTGTCTCGCTAGAGAACCCTGACTAATACAGATTTTGGTACCAGGAGTGGTTCTAGAGGAACAGAATATTAAGGATGATGGAGTTCTTTCGTTGGTTTGGGGATTTCTGGAGTTGGCTGCTTAACATGATTAGACCCAAAAATGCTAAGGACTCTACTTCTAATAGTGTGAAGCACACTGAGAGTCCTTGGCATGAACTGTTTAGAGATTTATGCAAATAAATGCATTTGACATTCCGGACTCACCACTTGTGAGAGGCAAAGAGATTAGTGACTCTATACGTAATACCTTCGACCATATGTGGAGAACCAAAGAACTATGAAGCTGGTTAGTTGCTTCTAAGTTCAGTGGACTCAGTGATCCAAGACAATTATGAACTCAGAGATTCTAACTCCTGGCTTCAGAAGCAGATACTGAGCCTCAAATCTGCTAAGGTTAATGAGAGTCTTATCTACTGAAGCGAAAGAGCTAAAATTGTGGAAAAACAGACACAAGCTCTTATCGTGTGAGTGGCTGACCTGCAACAAAAGGTACATGCACAGCCTTGCCAGGTGTCTACTATTAAAATGAGGGCACTGATTGGAGAAGAATGAGACCCTGCACCTTGTAATAGGGATGTGTGGGAGGAACCTGATGAAGCTGGGGACACTGAGTTTGTAAACTCTGATGAACATTTTTTTGCCAGAAGAAACAGCTTCCCTATCCCCAATAGTGGAGGCATCTCCTCCCTGAACCATGCTGCCATCAGCCTTTCCTCCTTTGTCTGAGGAGATAAACCTTTTGCTTCCTGAGGCAACAGTGATGGCCTCCCTTGAGAAAGTTGCCAGGCAAGTCATGTTGATTCTCTTCAAGAGCCACCCCCAACACCCCTGTTTGCTTCTAGACCTATAACCAGATTAAAGCTGTGGCAGGCCCCTAGAGGTGAGGCTGAACATGTGACCTATGAGGAGGTGCACTACACTCAAAAAGAACTGCTTGAGTTTTCTAATTTATATAAGCAGAAATCTGGAGAACAAGCATGGGAATGGATATTAAGGGTGTGGGATAATGGTGGAAGCAACGTAGAGTTGGATCAGGCTGAATTTATTGATTTTGGGCCCCTAAGTAGGGACTATGCATTAAAAAAAAGGTTCTAATAGTGTATTTTCTTGGTTAGCTGAACTGTGGATTAAAAGATGGCCCACTGTGAGTGAGCTGGAAATGCCTGTTCTCACTTGGTTTAATGTAGTGGAAGGGATCTAAAGGCTAAGGAGAATGGGACGGTGGAGTGGATTAGTCACTTTAGACCTACTCATCCCAGCCTGGAGGGTCCAGAAGATATACCTTTGACCAATGCCTTGCAAAATAGATTTGTGAAGCCAGCACCTGCATCTTTGAGGAGCCCTGTAATTGCTCCTCTCTGTATATCAGATCTAACAGTGGGAACTGCAGTCACTCAGTTACAAAATTTAAATACTATGGGAATAGTTAGATCCTGGGTGGAAGAGGCCAAGTGGTCACATTCAACTGTCAAAGGCAAGGTGGGTGCAGCTACCATAATGAACAGCAGAGGCAAAGCAGCAGTCAGAATAGTCTGACTCATAGAGAGCTCTAGCATTGACTAATTAATCACAGTGTTCCCACAAGTGAAATTGATAAGAAGCCTACTGCATTCCTACTTAATTTATATAAGCAGAAAATGTCTAGGTTAAATGGAAAAAAGACTAATTTGAATTATAAAAACAGAATCACAGTCCCTCAATCAATTTCCAGACTTGAGCCAGTTTACAGAACCAGAACCCTTTGAATGAAAGGGAGGCCAGTTTCCCTTGAGGAAGGACCCAACTATGCTGCTGACAATTTATGCTGTTAATCTTTCTCCCACTCTTCCCCAAGGAGACCTCCGGCCTTTTACTGGGGTAACTGTGCACTGAGGAAGGGGAAATGATCAGACAATTTGGGGACTACCGTAAACTAGCTCTGAGCTGACATTGATTCCAGAGGAACCAAAACGTCATTGTGGTGCTCCAGTTAAAGTAGGGGCTTATGGAGATCAGGTAACTAATGGAGTTTTAGCTCAGGTCCAACTTACACTGGGTCCAGTAGGTCCCCGGACTCATCCTGTGGTCATTTCCCCAGTGCCAGAATGCATAATTGGCATAGACCCACTTAGCAGCTGGCAGAACCCCCACACTGGCTCCCTGACTGGTAGGGTTAGGGCTACTATGGTTGGAAAGGGCAAATGGGAGCCAATAGAGCTGCCTCTCTCTAGAAGAATTATAAATCAAAAACAATATTTCATCCCTGGAGGGATTGCGGACATTAGTGCCACCATCAAGGACTTGAAAGATGCAGGGGTGGTGATTCCCACCACATACCCGTTCAACTCTCTCGTTTGTCCTGTGAAGAAGCCAGATGGATCTTAGAGAATGACAGTGGATTATAATAATTTTAACCAAGTGGTGACTCCAATTGCAGCTGCTGTACCAGATGTGGTTTCATTGCTTGAGCAAATTAACATATCTCCTGGTACCTGGTATGCAGCCATTAACTTGACAAATGCCTATTTCTCCATTCCTGTCTATAAGGCCCACCAGAAGCAATTTGCCTTCAGCTGGCAAGGCCAGGAATATGCCTTTATTGTCTTACCTTAGGAATATATCAACTTTCTAGCTTTGTGTCATAATCTAATTTGGAGAGACCTTGATCACTTTCACTTCAAGATATCACACTGGTCCATTACATTGATGACATTATGCTGATTGTGTCCAGTGAGCAAGAAGTAGCAAACACACTGGACTTATTGGTGAGAAACTTGTGTGCCAGAGGATGGGAAATACATTGAACTAAAATTCAGGAAACCTCTACTTCAGCAAAATTTCTGAGGATCCAGTGATGTGGGGCCTGTCGAGATATTCCTTCTAAAATGAAGGATAAGTTGTTACATTTGGCCCCTCCTACAATCAAAGAAAGAGGCATAAGGCCTAGTGGCCCTGTTTGGATTTTGGAGGCAACACATTCCTGATTTGGATGTGTTACTCTAGCCCATTTATCAAGTGACCAGAAAGGTAGCCAGTTTTGAGTGGGGTCCAGAACAGGAGAAGGCTCTGCAACAGGTCCAGGCTGCTGTGCAAGCTGCTCTGCCACTTGGGCCATGTGACCCAGCAGATCCAATGGTGCTTGAGGTGTCAGTGGCAGATAGGGATGCTGTTTGGAGCCTATGGCAAGGCCCATGCATGAACTACAGTGGAGTCCTCTAGGATTTTGGAGCAAGGCCCTGCCATCTTCTACAGATAACTACTCTCCTTTTGAGAGACAGCTCTTGGCCTGTTACTGGGTTTTGGTGGAAACAGAACATTTGATATGGGTCATCAAGTCACCATGAGACCTGAACTGCCTATCATGAACTGGGTGTTTCTGACCCATCTAGCCATGAAATGGGTGGTGCAGAGCAGAATACCATCATCAAATGGAAGTGGTATATATGTGATTGGTTTTGAGCAGGTCCTGAAGGGACAAGTAAGTTACATGAGGAAGTGGCTCAAATGCCCATGGTCTCCACTCCTGCCACTCTGCCTTCTCTTCCATAGCCTGCACCAATGGCCTCATGGGGAGTCCCCTATGATCAGTTGATAGAGGAAGAAAAGGCTAGGGCCTGGTTCACAGATGGTTCTGCATGATATGCAGGCACCGCCGGAAAGTGGACAGCTGCAGCACTACAGCTCGTTTCTAGGACATCCCTGAAGGACAATGGTGAAGGGAAGTCTTCCCAGTCGCAGAACTTTGAGCAGTGCACCTGGATGTGCACTTTGCGTGAAAGGAGAAATGGCCAAATGTGTGATTATATACTGATTCATGGGCTGTAGCCAATGGTTTGGCTGGATAGTCATGGACTTGGAAGATGCATGATTGGAAAATTGGTGACAAATTTAGGAAAGAGATATGTGGATGGACCTTTCTGAGTGATGAAAACTGTGAAGATGTTTGTATCCCACGTGAGTGCTTACCAACGGGTCACCTCAGCAGAGGAGTTTAATAATCAAGTGGATAGGATGACCTGCTCTGTGGACAACACTCAGCCTCTTTTCCCAGTCATCCCTGTCATCACCCAATGGACTCAGCAACATGGACTTCCACTCACCAAGAGTGACCTGGCTCCAGCCACTGGTGAGTGCCCAATTTGCCAGCAGCAGCAGAGACCAACACTGAGCCCTCAATATGGCACCATTTCTTGGAGTGATCATCCAGCTACCTGGTGGCAGGTTGATTATATTGGACCTATTGGACCTCTTCTGTCATGAAAAGAGCCGTGGTTTGTCCTCATTGGAATAGACACTTACTGCTGATATGGGTTTACCTATCCTGCATATAATGCTTCTGCCAAGACTACCATCCAGGGACTGACGGAATGCCTTATCCACTGTAACAGTATTCCACACATCATTGCCTCTTACCAAGGCACTCACTTTACAGCTAAAAAAGTGCGACAGTGGGCTCATGATCATGAAATTCACTGGTCTTACGATGTTTCCCATCATCCTAAAGCAGCTGGATTGACAGAATGGTGGAATGGCTTTTTGAAGCCACAATTACAATGCCAACTAGGTGACAATACTTTGCAGGACTCAGGCAAAGTTCTCCAGAAGGCTGTGTATGCTCTGAATCAGCATCCAATATATGGTATTGTATCTCCTATAGCTAGGATTCACAGGTCCAGGAATCAAGGGGTGGAAGGGGAAGTTTCACTACTCACCAACATCCCTAGTGATCCACTGGCAAAATCTTTGCTTCCTGTTCCTGTGACGTTACATTCAGCTGGCCTAGAGGTCTTAGTTTCAGAGGGACGAATGCTGCCAGCAGGAGACACAACAATTACTCCATTAAACTGGAAGTTAAGATTGACACCTGGACACTTTGGGTTTCTCCTACCTCGAAGTCAACAGGCTAACAAGGGAGTTACAGAATTGGCTGGAGTGACTGACCTGGAGCATCAAGGTGAAATCAGTCTAGTACTCCACAATAGAGGTAAGGAAGATTAGCGTGGAATACAGGAGATCCATTAGAGTATCTCTTAATATTACTATGCCCTGTGATTAAAGTCAATGAGAAACTAATACAGTCCAATCCAGGCAGAACCATAAATGGCCCAGACCCTTCAGGAATGAAGATTTGAGTCACTCCACCAGGAAAAAAATATTGACCTGCTGAGGTGCTTGCTGAAGGCAAAGTGAGTACAGAATGGGTAGTAGAAGAAGGTAGTCATCAATACCAGCTATGACCACGTGACCTATTGCAGAAACAAGGACTACAATTGTCATAAGTATTTCCTCCTTCTTTTGTTAAAAACATATTTGTGCATGTATTCACTTGTACTAATAAAATATCTTTTTATTTCCTTTTTTCTTTATCATGTGACCTAAGATTTTTTTTTAATTTTTTTAATTTTATTATTATTATACCTTAAGTTTTAGGGTACATGTGAACAACGTGCAGGTTTGTTACATATGTATACATGTGCCATGTTGGGGTGCTGCACCCATTAACTCGTCATTTAGCATTAGGTATAACTCCTAATGCTATCCCTCCCCCCTCTCCCCACCCCACAACAGACCCCGGTGTGTGATGTTCCCCTTCCTGTGTCCATGTATTCTCATTGTTCAATTCCCACCTATGAGTGAGAACATGCAGTGTTTGGTTTTCTGTCCTTGCGATAGTTTGCTGAGAATGATGGTTTCCAGTTTCATCCATGTCCCTACAAAGGACATGAACTCATCATTTTTTATGGCTGCGTAGTATTCCATGGTGTATATGTGACCTAAGATTTATTGACTTCATATCAATACTTAAGTATTGTTAACTTTATGTAATAGTATTTGGGTTGGGGATTGGTGCATTTCTGGTTGTACGAAGGACAGTTGTATTATATTAGGCATAATTATGGCTTTATTATTGTCTTTATTTGAAGATTATATATGGTCTCAGGAGATGTGTATGGGTTCAAGTTGACAAGGGGTGGACTTGTGATGGTTAATATTGAGTGCCAACTTGATTGGATCGAAGGATGCAAAGTATTGTTCCTGGGTGTGCCTGTTAAGGTGTTGTCATAGGAGATTAACATTTGAATCAGTAGGCTGGGAAAGGCAGACCCACCCTTAATGTGGGTAGGCACCGTCTAATCAGCTGCCAGTATGGCTAGAATATAAAGCAGGCAGAGAAATGTGAAAAGACGAGACTGGCCTAGCCTGCCATCCTACATGTTTCTCCTGTGCTGGACCCTTCCTGCTGTGGAATATCGGACTCCAAGTTCCTCAGTTTTGGAACTCAGACTGGCTTTCCTTCTCCTCAGTGTGCAGATGGCCTATTGTGGGACCTTGTGATTGTGTGAGTTAATGCTTAATAAGCTCCCTTTTATATACATATCTATCCTATTAGTTCTGTTCCTCTAGAGAACCCTGACTAATACAGGTTCCTTCTGTAAGTAAGGAATTAAATAAAGAAATACCCTCAAGATTGTGACTAAAACCTCCAAGAGAAGGACATGAGCTAATGATATAAACTAAAATCTGTTCAGGTTCCTCACACAAAATTTGAAACCTAGTATTTTCATGCGGCACACAAAATATGTAAAACAAGCTAACACTAGGGATCTAGGAGAAATAAGGAGATGGATCCCTGAGGAATTCACATTTTAAATTATTAGATGCAGAATATAAAATAACATGTATTAATATTAAGGCTTAAAGAAATAAAGCATAGAATAATAATAATTATCAAGAAAGGGACAGTATTAAAGTATATGGCAGAGGAAAAGAAACAGCATATGAAATTATACAAATTTACACCTCAGTGAATGGGTTCACCAACTGATGAAACACCTCTTATGGAAGAGTGGGAATTGCATACACAGCAGGACAACAAGTCAGAAACTTTACCAGGATGAAGTCCAGAGGCTCAGACAATTAGACTATACAAAATAGAGATAAAGAGGCAAAGGTGATAGAAAAAAGACTTAAGAAAACACACATTTATGTCCTTGCAAGTCTGAATTCAAGGTACTGGCAGGGCCACGCTCCCTCTGAAGGCTATTGAGAAAAAAATCTTTGCATTCTCTACTTCTTAGTGCTCCCTGAAATTTCTCAGCTTGTGACAGTATATCTCCAATCTCTGTTTCTATCCTCACATGTCTTCTTCCTCCCTGTCTCTGTGTCCTCTCCTCTTCTTATAAGAATATCAGTCAGTGGATTTAGGAGCTGTCCTATATCCAGGATAATAATTATATCAGGATCCTTAATTAATTACATTCACAAAGACCTATTTGCAAATAAAGTTACATTCTGAAGGGCACCTTATTCAACCCACTATAGAAACCAAGCAAATAGCCACTATAAGAAGAATGGAAACATAAAATTTGATTTGGTCACAAAACAAAATATTACACACTGGTGAAAATGAATTAACCAGAGATGCATGGGTAATAACATGGGTAAATCTTACATACATAATATGAGTGAAAAAAGACAAGGTCCCTAATAAAGCATACCATTTATATAAATTCAAAACTACATCTATATGTATAGTCACATATAAATATGCTAAGTCATCTTTTGATAAAGGAAAGCAAATACTAATAAAAATCACACAGGATAGTGTTTATGTTTGAATGAGGGGATGAAGGGGAGGGAGGATGAAATTAGAAATGAGTACACAGGTTAGCTTTAGCAATTTTCTAGTTCTTAGGTTGGGAGGTGAGTTCACAAGGATAAAAGTGTGTGTATATGTGTGTGTATGTACGTGTCTGTAAAACATATAATTAATTACTTTTAAAAACTGAAAAAGAAAGTCACAAATATGAGAACAGGAGATCCAAATTTAAATAAGAAATAAGGTACTGAGTAGACTTAGCTACATGATATGTAAAAGCAAGAAAGAGGAGAGAAAACATGACTATTAAGTAAGCATGAAGAAAGTGCATATAAAATAATTCTGTTTTAATTTTAGACTCGTATCATATGTTAATGTGAGCAAAATCATGGAAATAAATAGATCTACATTTTTCCTATGAAAATGGTTGCAGTAAAAAAGATGAAAGTTATATTTTTAATAATTTTAAAAGCAGTATGAAAATATTTTATGCATATTCCCTTCTCATGAATTCATATATAAATATGATCCTGATGCTTTATATCACAGTTGAATTCTGATCCACTTTTTATATAGGATGTGTGGGAAAATCTATTCAACAAAATAAAAGATGATTTTGAATTAGATTTTACATAATGATAATAAAAATATAAAAAACATATTAAAAAATCAAAAATGAACCATAAATAGGGACAGGTCATATAAATGTATCGTTCTTCTCACCCGTGTTAACCAGCTACATAATTTAATTACAAAAAATAGTGTTCCATGGCATGGTTTGAATCAATAGTGGTCACCTTGATGTATTATATTAGGAACGCATTTTGAAATGTGTAGATAAATGACAGGAGCCATTTATTAAGTCACGTGCTGTTTGTCATATTTAATAACATTATAAATTTATTAAGCTGTATACGATAAACAACAGTTTGAGATTTTTATGACTTATCCCATCTTTTACTAAGAATTGATTTTAATGGGATTTATGAGTAAAAATTAAAAGCCAGAATTTTTGGTGTTCTACCAGGCATATTCCCAAAAACCTTCATTTTATTTAGTCTTCGTAGCACTGTTTCGTTTACAGAGAAGCTCAAATAAATTCTTAAACCCCCAATGGTTTCTTCCTTTATGATTAATGTTTAGTTATTTTTGAAGATTTTCCCCATCCACTAGTTTGAAAGCTGTACTTACATGTGGCTTGCTTTCTGACACATTTGTCTTTTCTTTTCTCTCTCAGTCTAAACACCCAGGAGCAAAGTACCCTCAGAAATCTTTGGAAGTTGCTGAAGAGTTCACTCAACGTGTTGTATGCTCAAGATAGCTAAAATCAAATATCTTTTATTTTTATCAGCCCTAATTTAAGAAGATTTTTCTTCCCATATTTCAGACTATGAGTCTTCTCTAAGAAAACAGAGCTCAATCTAACTATACCACAGTCAATTATTAATTGAAATATTAAAATAAGAAATACATGAAATACAGATCTTTGAAGAATTTTTGCGGGTTTTGGCTTCGTATACAAAAGTCAAATATAAATTCAGTAGTTAATTTCTCTTTTTTTCTTATTTTGGAAGTATCGTAGTGATGTGTTACACTATTTACATGAAGCCAAGACTCGACATTCCATCTATATTATTTACTTTTCCTTATAAGAAGAGGTGATAATACTAGACCTTATAGAGTTACAAAAATAATGCAATAGAAGGGTCAAAAACACTTTTCCACTGAAATTAAAAGGCACATTTATCTAATTTTCCTGCTTTTAAAAATAATAAAAACATTGTCTGTCTATAACTATGTCTGTAGAAAATAGACATAAATGGCTAGGGAACAAGCTGCTATTTCTGATTTCCTAGTCTGGTTTGTTCTGCTTTTCTAACCTGTCTTTCATTCACATTTATGTCTTAGGTTCACACCTTTTTTGACGTTGCACCCAAGTAAAGCTATTATCACCTGTCTGTGGAAGATTGTTGAGGGTCTAATGGTGGCATGAGTAAAAGTACATTGGACTAGCTCTCAGGAAACTTTCTGGAAGTGTAATCATACTTCTGGTATTTTTCTCTCATGCAGTTCTTCAAATAGATGGAAGATGTTCATAGGATCACTGTGAAGAGCGAATTAGATGTTTTATAATAACTACAGTATGATGAAAATCCTGACTTGTTACAACATTGTAAGTTATTTGAATAACATGCAATCTTTCTTCAGAAAATATCTGTCTCCTATTAGCACAGTGTTTCAAAAATGCTTATATTTCATGGCACTAGACATTGTTTTATTTTCCACAAATAGTTTCCAGGTTAATTAAGGGAGACAGCTTGACTGACTTCAAATGTATGTTTTCCTTATACAGCAACCCTCTTTTGATTTAATTTCTCTTGGTAAAGTAGAAAGTACCAACCCCTATTAACCTGAAACTCAGTGCATTCTTCCAAATTATTCACTTAACTATTCCCTTTTAAGAGAAGTTAATCAGGAAAACAAAGCCTTGCCAATAATTACCTACCATTTTGTTCTCATAATATACTTAAATATTTATATTTCTACTCCTACATTAAGCTAATCAAATGAGAAATGCTGCTAAAAATTCTTATAAATAAAAGCTGCCCAGAAAGATGATAATCTACTTTCCTATGCCTCTGTAATTTTCTATCCAAATAGGTTTCATTGTGTTGCAAAATACTAGTAGATTACCAGTGACATGAAAAATGTGTCAGCACATACAAATGCAGGCTGATACTAATAACTATTATTCATTATGTTATTGACTCCCCAAAGATTCTGTTTACAGAAGAAAATGTTTGAACCAAAGATAAGTAATATGCTTGAGAAATATAAAACTTTCTTTACTCTTCATTAATTTTAGTCTTTTTATTTAAAAAAACTAATTGTATTTAAAACAACCAATATTAGCTTGAATTGTATAGGTACATAATGACAAATTTGAAAATATGATTTAATTAGGTAAACATTTAATCGCTTTTTTACAAATTCTAAATGATAATGAAAGCTAATATTATTACATAGACTCTTATTTTAGGATAAAGTTCATCCTAGAATATTCAGAGTTGATTTAGGAAATAATATATTTTTAAAATTGTTTGAAATGACACTAGTTGTAACCAAAAATTGAATAACTTATATGTGTTTCTTCTTCATATGTCTTGTTTTCTACAGACGTGATTGAAAAGCAACCACTAATATATATATAAAATATACATACATAAAACACATACCTGTGCACACACATATTCATATATACAATATTTAAATGCAAGCTTTCAGATGATCCCCCAAACCTATTCATACTTATAAGTTATCAGATATAAAAATATTCAGAAGATATACAGCATAGTATCTTACAGGCAAACTACTCACCTGACTTTCTTCTTTTTAATTTAAAATAAGTGTTGCAGAATAAGTTTCATTGATTAAGTAATTAAAACAAAAATCTATATCATCATTATATTCACTTAAGGAAATGTATTTTTTTTCTAAACAGAATTTGAGGTGGAAAAACAGTCACTTGAATTTTCATACAAAAGCAATAGATGCCAAAATTAGTGATGAGCATCAATAAGCCTAATACCAAGAAGGAAAAGTGATAAAAATTAATATCTAGAAATTTATAAAACAAATTAAAAAGTGACCCATATTGTTCGTTTAGTTTTTGTTTTTATTGATTTAACTTTAAAATGCTAGATGCATATTTCTTTTTAGGAAAGGAAAGTTACCTGCCTAGATCATGTATTTTGATAAGCATACTGGGCACCCTGATCATCACATAATGTGAGTAGAGGACATAAAAATATTTACACTATACAAACAACACATTCATTTCTGTGTTTACTGAAAGTTATTATGACAGGAAATTTGAATGCAATGTTGCGTTAGTTTTCTCTTCAGAAAGGAAATTTTAGGTTTAAGCATCAAAAGAAATTATAGAATTACATATTAGAAAAGACAGATGAGTTAATTCGCTGGCTTGCTTTTTTATGGTATATATACACTATAATGTTTCCATAGTAACATAGTTCTTTGTGGATTTTTCCCCCTTTATGTTAACCGTTTTTCTACACTTTTTTTTTAAATAGCTTGTGTGCTTGCCTTAATAAGACAGCTACCACATTGCTGTTTCTCTTCTGTAACAATTTCCAAGCTTTCTGAAGCCACAAGATACAGATTATAACTTGTAATAGGGCAGATCATTCCAGAATCTTAAACTTATATTGTCAAATACGTACAATATGTGCTTATCTGAAAATACTGTATCTCAACAATAGATAGAAAAAAAGTGAAAATAAATTCTGGATTTCTAATGTAACAAAGAGTGTATCTATCCATTTGTTCTAAAGTAGCCAGAAGCTCTCCAAAAGTATACATACGCCACCTGACCTCTAAAGGTAATTTAACCTTGTCATAAAGATCTTTGGGAGGTAAGATCCTTAGAAAGACATCTCTGTTTCTGCCACAGGTCCCCATTGTCTCAACTACAGATCATCACTACCTCCAGCACGTTTTGTTTAAGTAAATACCTGAGGACATTAAAAAATACCTGAAATATTATCATCCACTTATCTTCCTTTTAGTCTCCAGTGTATGAAGTTCCTGCCATAAAATCTGCCTATAATTTTAAGAAGTTGAGTGTGCCAAGGTTATAAAGCTAGATTGTGGCAGAATAGATTCCTTACTGCTAAAGAATTGTTACAGCATTCATAATTATATATTGCTAAGGATTTTCTCTCTTTTTTATAGGATTTTTATATAAGAAAAGAAGTTATAAAATTAATCATGTAACATAAATTTTGTGTATTATTTTTAAATTAGTAGGCCGAATACCCAATTTTCTAATCTGTACTAATTAACTAAAAAGAAAAGCGTCATTTAATATGTTGGTTATAGAGCCTAGAGTACTCAAATTTATTAATCTAAGTAGTAAAATGTCATCTTTTACCTAAGTAGTAAAAAGCCACTATATAGAAGATAACATGCATAAATATGTAATTCAAATAAACCTTTCTATAATCACAAAGAATACTACTCTTCTGAAAATTTTCTCTAGTAAATATACATCCTCCTTGAAAACATAGAATGCCTATTTCCTTTTTTCTATATGACAGTACTTTTCTGTTTATTGTTGTGATCCCCTTTCTTATTTTGACTCTGAGATGGTACAAGAGGTATTCACTCAGTGTATTTGGTGAGAAAAATCTTTTAATTTATATACTTTTGTCTCTATAAAAACAGCACTCAAGTGAAAATAACTACTGTTATTAAGGTCTACAGAAATAACAGTAGTTACTACATTGTGAGAACATGGTAAATATTATAAGCAGTAAGGCGTTATAATCACCTTATCAATTAAATTGAAGCACTCAAGAATTTTTTATATCCATACTATCAATAACTTCCAAAAATATAAACAAAATGCAGAAATTTAATCAATATAAAATGAATGTCAAGAGATTATTACTGGCATATTCAGAAACTCTTAGATTATTATAAAACGTGTTTTAGTTATAATTAAAATACTGAACTTAAAAGTTGAAAGAAAAATGATCCCAAACATATGCCATTAAATTGGCCATGCTACTGATTTATGTCTAATATAATTTATGTGGTTGAAAAACTGCATATGGTAGCTGTCATTCAGAATAAGATGAAATATGTATATTTGATATCAAACAAATACTCTCTAATTTACAATCAAAATGATTTTAGTGGAAATATAAGCAGATACTCTTTGTACTTTGAATAAGTTTCTGTTAACAAAAATTGAAGTGACTCTTCAGAAAAATTGTTCTCCCTGCATTATTTTACTCATACTTCATAAAATCAGTAATTTTCAGCAGGAAATGAATCATACTTCCTAAAGATGAGTGAAGGAAATACCATTTTTTGACAAATTTGAGAAGGAAAACATAATTATTGTGGCACTAGTTCTAAGTAATCAATATATTTGTAAATTATTCAGACTATGAGATGGCTCACAGATACTGAGAGATTGAACTATAAAGAACAATTTTAAATTCTGAGATCAAATAGAATTTTTTCAGAATCATTGTTCAAAAATTAAAATACAAAGATGCCTTTCTAATTATGTGAGCAGGAGTTAAGCTAATCATAAACATTTTATTACTGTTCTGGACTGAATTATGTCCCACAGATCCAAATTCACCTGTTGAAATCTTAACCTTCAATGTGAGTGTATTTGGAGAGAGGTTCTTGAAGAAGAATATACAGGTTAAATAAGGTCATAAGAGAGGGCCGCTAACACAGTAGGACTGGTGTCCTAAGAAGAGACAGACATACCAGCATGAGCACAAACGGAGAAAATACCACATGAGGACACAGTGAGAAGGCAGCCATTTGATGAAAAAGGAAAGGAGCCTCTGGAGAAGACAGCCTTATCAGCTCTTTGATCTTAGACTTTTGGCCTCCAGAACTGTGATAAAACAATTTTCTTTTATTTAAGCCACCCAGTCTATGATATTTTGTTATGGCAGCCCTAGCTGACTAATAGTTACTTAAATTGGGTAAGTATTTTCTGTCATTTTGGAGATTAAAAATTGACATTGAAATTGTGTGTCAATACACGTGAGCTAACACTACCCATTGATAGAACAAGGTATGTCATGAATCAATACCATATTTAAACAGAGATGGATGACCAGTTCTCCAAAGATTTCAAAAATAGATGTTTATGTAGGTTGGGACACAAAATTACCTAACCTCCAATGCTCTTTTTCTGTTTGATTTGTTTTATTTTGTTTTTTGGGACAGAGTCTCCCTCTGTTGCCAGACTGGAGTGCAGTGATGCAATCTTGGCTCACTGAAACCTCCACTTCCCGGATTTCAAGCTGCCTCAATCTCCCAAGTAGCTGGGACTACAGGCACATGCCACCATGCCCAGCTAACTTTTGTATTTTTGGTAGAGACGATGGGGTTTCACCATGTTTGTCTCGATCTCTTGATCATGATCCGCCTGCCTCACCCTCCCAAAGTGTTGCTCTTTTTAACTTTCAAAAGTCTGGGATAATCTTCAGAGTATCACATAAGATAAATGTGCTCTACCATCTTCTACATTCAAACATTAAAATATAATCATAGAATAAAGAGAACTCATTAAATAAAGGTGAACGGAGCACAATTTCTTCCATTAAAGAGTTCAGAGTATGGGAGAGAGTAGTGACAAGCTATGAACCAAGTTATTAAAGAGGCATGATTCAACTACAAATGACTTCTGAATGAGGAACTACGGGAACACTGAGGAAAAATGAACTTTGCCCGGAACAGTGTTACTCAAGTTGAAGTCCTTGGGTAGGATCTAGAAAAATTTTAAAGTTCCTGAAATACATGCAAGTTTTTGTGATTATGTGTGTATAATTTTTTTAAGTCAGGTATAAATTAAGGAATTTTAATTCAAATTAGCTAATACACATAGAGTATGTTGTGGACACCAGTGCAGTTTACATAATGAAAGACTGAACACTCAACCCACCAGAAAGGCAAGAATACACCTAAACCCTAGGAACCACTAAAACGAGGATTCATGTTTCCATAATTTCCTTTCCATCATTCATTCATTGCTTTACATGTTATTTTCTTTTATTGCAGAATGTCATCCAGAAAATGATGGAAAACTAACAGCTCAAGAGTTTTTAATGTTGGGTAAGAAAATACACTCTTTTTTGCTCTCATTAGAACCAACTTCAAAAATTATTTGGAAGACTTTGAATACTGCAGCCTGTAATACTGAACTAGGATTTTGATCAATCTGTTTTTAAAATAGACACATGAAAAGAATAATAAGAAGAAGAGGGTCTGAACATAGAACAACCATTGGTATAAATCCAAGACTAAAGCTTTCAACTAATTTTAATTAATCTTAATAAAGGTGAACCAAAAAGAGCAGTAGGAAAAGCACTTCAGGCTGATAAAACTACAAATGAAACTAAAAATAAGTATTATATGTGGTATATAGTAAAAGGAAGGTACAAAGTAACATAAATCTGAATCATAAAGAGTAACATGTGCCATCTAATTTGTGCTATACCTGTTACTGCTACTGGCTTTTAGTATTAGTAAGGTATTTGATATTGGTTTCAAAATTTAATTCCAAGGAGCCCTAAGGATTCCTAGAGGGCAGTTTATGGTATATAATCAGATTGGGGTTAAAGCACAAGGTCAACGAAAAAAAATCTGCATCTCCATCAGCAATCAGGTAGATGTATTTATTTTATGCATTATAGCTGTTTGTATGTCTATGGAATATATGAAGTTTAAAAAGTTTAAAAATTGAATTGGAGAGTCATGGAAATAATGTAAGCAAAACAAAAAAAGATGAAGTGTTACTTAGAATCAAACTATCTTGCGTCTCATCGAGAAATGAGAGGAGATGATGGAACTTGAAACATTAATCCAGTATAAAGATGGAGGAGGCAGCATTTCAAAATAAAAGATAAAGCCCTACATAAATGAAGCAACAATGGTTATCATAAGAAAGAAAAAGATTCAAGACATATTAAGTGAGAGAAAATGATATGTTTTTGCAAACTGTAGTATAGGAAGGCATAGGAAGCAACTAGAGGACAGTGAACGGAAGGTGGTATACAGAATTAAACACAAATTTTGGGCTTAGTGATTGTACAAATATGGGCAAAATAGTAGGAATAACTAAAATGGGAAAAGTCCCCTTGTCCCCCTCACAGAACGAGCGATGGGGGTGCAGCTCACTTCTTCAATGCCCTGATGCTCAAACTTCTAGGGAGCAGACAGACCGGCAGGCTATGGGGCTCCGACCCCATGGCAATGTCTAGGGATGAATGCTTACAGCTTCTGAAGTCCCAATGGGCGTGTGTTACAGGGTGCTCTTTTAGTTTTGTCCCCTATAGGTGGCTTGTGTTAACCAGCCCTCTACTTTGTCTTAAGGAAAGAGGGCTTTCTGTATCCCTGGTTCTTGCCTTGATGTACTGGAAGAATTCGATCATACCTGGGCTTGGAGAGTTAAGTGCAAGGTTTTATTGAGGGGAGGTAGCTCTCAGCAGATGGGGGAAGCCAGAAGGGGATGGATTGGGAAGGTTTTCCCCTGGAGTTGGGCAGCTCAGTGGCCCAGGCTCTCTTCTGACTGCTCCAGCCAAACTTCGCTTTGTTCTGCTGGTCAGTGGCCTGCCAGCATGCCCAGTGCCGGTCACTGTGTTCCTCTCGACGTCTAACCGCTTGTGTGTTTCTCTGCGATGTGCTCCTCTTGACGTCCAGCAGCTTGTGTTATCTGCCTGCTACGGTCTCGGGGGTTTTTATAGGCACAGGATGGGGGCATGGCAGGCCAGGCTGGTCTTGGGAAATGCAACATTTGGGCAGGAAATGCTTGTCCTCACCAAGGTTCGTGGGGATGGAGGCCTAGCCAGGGGCCACACCCTCCTCTACCCAGCACTTCCCTTCCCCACTTTCAGATCGTTTAAAGAGACCAAGCTCTTCCCTTCCCAGCACTTCCATATCATAATGAAAGTAAGTTGCCTCAGGGCATAAACAATATCCTTTGGATAGTAAGAAATTTTAATCTGAAGCTCATAGAAAACATGAAACCTGAACAGTCTTTAGGGGATGGTTAAAGACCATAGACTTCGTCAGGTTGCCTAACAGCAATGCTTGATGAGAGAAAGACTGCTAAAGATAAAATCCTAAAAACCATTAGTATTTAGAGTATTTAGAGTATTAGTATTTAGAGTATTGGAAAAGCTTCAAAGAGAATGGGAGTACAAGAAGTTAGGTGATTGTCCCAAGGTAAATTATGCCCCGGAAGTCAAAGAAGGGGGAGCTCAAAGAGGAAGAATCAAATATTGTGAAAGTATGAATAAGATGAGGTTTAAAATATTGATTACACTTGTGAGTAAGAAGGCTGTTAGGTAGCTTAGTTAGAGAAGTTTCATTTTGGATGTCAGAGTGCAAACTAGATTTCAACCATTTTAGAAGCAAAGGAAAGTAAGAAGGAATAAAAACTAATATAACTCTTCATAAAAGCCTAATAATGAAAAGAGGAGTTATATAACAGAGATAGGACTTTACTCTTTGAACACTCAACTGATTTGTTGTTTTACAGATCTTAGAATGAGTTGAACTTAACCAACATTTGTATCAGTTAGGATGAACTAAGTTAGAATGCAGTGATAAAATATGTACAAATCTCAGTGCCTTAAAAAAACACAAATACAGCTATCATTCAAAGTATGTAAGCATTGCAGACACACAGACTGGCAGAAATTCTATCTTGCTGCATGAGTCCGTGATTGTTAACGCAGGGGAAAAAGGCATGAGTGCACAACACAGGCTCTTCAGGTTCTTCCCGACACTAATATTTCGTTGGTCAAATTAAGTAGCATGGTCTTGAATAACTATTAAAAAAGAATACCCACATAGAGAGGAGCCATATATATTTGCTGAATAATGTCTAAAATGTATAAACCTGTTTTCTGTTTTACTAGAGTAATTTTACCAGAGGTCACTACAATATATCTTCCCCTGCTAACACTCAACTCCTTCTCCCTGCTCCCCTGAAAATTATTCTATCTAATTTCAATCAAACGCTGATACTATTTCAAATGAGTCTAAAACTGTTACCTAAAAGTGGAAGGACCATTAGATTATGCAGTTTAGAGCATGCATGTCTAAAAGAATAGTCAGTTCTTCTCTTGATGTAAACACCAGAATCCACACCAGATTTGTTGTGATTCCAACATTAGAGGTCAACGTTGTGCTGTTGAGCCAAGTTTTTCCCCTATTGTGTATTTCAGTCTTTAAATGATTACAGACATTATTGTAGCCTGTTAGAAACACCCTAAGTGTATATATCCTTTAGGTGTTAATTAATCTTTCTAAGGCTGTTTTGAAAAGTTGAAGTATTTCTTATGGAAAGCCTGGAGACATTCTCCTATTGTCTTTACTAGTTACATTGGGGTAGCAGTATCTTCAGTGAAATTGAACATAATAATAACCTTTAATCTTGGAAATGGGTATGAATGAATGGAATTTTTGCTTAGAGTTGGGGTGGAAAATAGGTTGAGATGAAGTTAAGAGGAAGAAAGCCTTTAGAAGCCATCACAGTAACATAGAAATAAAGTATAGATTCATTCATAGCTACACAAATACCTCCACTCCATTACTGTGATTCAAGATAAAAATTCTTCAGAAGTATTTACATTATATAATGTATTTTCGCTGAAGAATAAAAATACGTTATAGTGAAATTGTTAATAAAGCATCAAACATTTGTATAATGATTTATACTTTTCCATAGCTTTCAAATTCAAAACCTCATGATACACAATAAAATAAATCATAAAACTTCAAATAATATGTGACTACATGTAACTTGTTAAATAAATAAAACCAGAACTGGTGATTAAGATAATCATTCAGAAAAATGCAAAACAAACTGATAAATAAGCTACTCTGCTCTATTAAAGCTTATACTTAATTCAAGGACTACATTTAAGGAGCGATTTATTGTTGTAGACATATTCACTACAAGGAACTTCAGAGAAGTAAAATTACAGAACATAGCAAAGGTCAAATCCATCATGTCAGTTAAAAATAGATGGATAAATGCAGTAAGGTTTGGCACTAGATCGATAGCCTTAGAGACTGGGCAATTCTAGGAGAAATGTTCCCAGTAATCACAAGCTTTGAACATGAATACAAACTGATCAGTATTGGGATCATAGTTCTGTATACAAGAATGTACTTAGAATTCTTCTGAATGCAATATGAATTGAATATACATTATAATGTTTATAAATTTAATGAGAGCTCTTGACTAGTGAATTATATAGAATCATTCAGCGAACAATATGAAGAAGCGATTTTCCATTAAATAATTTGATTATTTTCATGTCAATACTTTATCTTTAAAACTGGATGACTGGATTGACTGACAGTAACATTGCTATTAAGAGATGGCAAATGAGCTGGCTGACTTCTCCAGAGACTTTCAGGTAGGCAATTCCTGCTCGCAGTCATTGGAAATTGAGACCTAGTTCTTGGCTCTAATATCCCTGAATATCAATATTATCACATAAGTAACTTCATAGATTAATGTTGATATGAATATATAATATATTCACTGATTTATAGTGATATATAAAATGTCAGAAAGTCCATTAATACTATTTAAAAGTTTATTATTTTAACTGTAAGAATGTCTAAATAAAAAATAATTATGAGAATTTAGAATGTTATCACACTAAAAGCTTAGGAGTTTGAAGCTATTCATTGGACTCTGCAAATCTTCTCTTGCTACTCTATTCAAGATAATCTTTTCCAAATGCAGATTTGACTATAATCATTTGCTAAAAATCCTTCAAAATTCTCTATTGCTTTCAAAAATATTGGCCAAAATCATTGACAGTTGGACAAGCAAAGCTGAGTTTATTGGACTTAGCATCTTCGTAGAGAAAGTCACATTGAGCAAATAGTAGTTTTGTCTCATTATCAGAATTTATACAATAATATCCACATGATTTTATGAGCCGCCCTTAGTAATTTTAAGACAGCTCATCCAAGGTAGAGGACTGGTTGAAATGAAGCAGTTTTTATGCAAAATAGCTCTGTATTTTTGGGAAGTCCTTAACGAGCAAAATGTTAGTATGGGAAAATAATCTAATTTAATTTTTTCATAGTCCAGGCTTCCAGGAACAAATATGTCCTAAAGTGAGCAATTCAGTTATTTTACCAATTACAAGTATTATTTAGCTTAGAAGCAGTAAAGTTCATTTGGTCTCAGAATTGTTTAGCACAGACAGGAAATATAGTTGGTCCAAAAATTTTTTAGCATATGGGTTGAAATTCTCAGTCCTCTTTTGGTCATTCTTTAGCATAAGCTGCATCATTTAATTACAGGATATGATCAATAGACATGCATATATATATATATATATACACACATATATATATACACATATATATGTACACATATATATATATACACATATATATACACACACACACACACACATATATATATATATATATATATATATACACACACACATATATAATATATATCATTGTTGGATGTTTAAGGGTCCGTGTGTAGTTTTTGACAGTGCTTCTTCCAACCTCTGTGTCAGATTTTCTTGTTTTTCCATGGAAGAAAGTTGTTGTATTATTGAGAGAATAGTGACTGTACAGCAGCAAGAAGGATTCTGGAGAGCACACATTTGAGCACTACAACATACACATATATAAAGAGAAAGATTATAATTAGAGTCCACTGTTGATTTCCAAACAGGGAACAGAGACTATGAAACTTAAATCAATAGAATTTATTCAATTCCTAACCTAATGAGCTGTGGAATAGATACAGTGATTTTTTTTTCTAACTGTTTGGTCTGTGGGAATGTTTGACATATAAAAAGTAACTTTGTCGTTGAACTACTCAGGTAAACAAATCATTTCTTACAAGAAAGTAATAGCAAAGGAAACTGAGTTGCCCCTCAAAAACTACAAACTCAATGACCGGTCGGTTCCGTTGTATGGCTTAGACAATAATAAGGAAATTATAGCTAGTATTGCACTGATACAAAAGAATGACATTGAATGTAAAAAGCAATATTAAGGCTGGGCACAGTGGCTCATGCCTGTAATCCCAGCACTTTGGGAGGCCAAGGCGGGTGTATTGCTTGAGCCCAGGAGTTCAAGACCAGCCTGGGCAACAAGACGAAACCTCATCTCTACAAAAAATGGAAGAATTAGCCAGGTGTGGTAGGGCACACCTATTGTACCAGCTACTAGAGAGTCTGAGGTGGGAGGATCACCTGAGCCCAAGGAAGTTGAGGCTGCAGTGAGTCACTATTATGCCACTGCACTCCAGCCTGGGCAACACAGTGAGACACTGTCTCAATAAATAAATAAATAAATAAGCAAGCAATATTAAGACTAAGGATATAATTGGTGTCACAGTTAAGTAGTAATTAATCCAGATACCTTAACCAGCTGATTCAGAAAAGTGAAAAAGAATAGCATAAAAATTAATACGTTACAATTTGTATTTCATGTGGATCTCATTCTTTGTTGTTTGAGTCAATGCTGTCTACTTCTTAATACCCTTCTGATTAAAAATCTTGCGGTATGTATCAGTTTGCTAGGGCTGCCATAACAAAGTGCCACAGAATGGGTGGATTAAATGACAGAAGTTCATTTTCTCACAGTTCTTGAGTTCAGAAGTCTGAGATCATGGCATCAGCAGGGTTGGCTTCTACTGAGGGCCGTGAGTAAAGATGGACTCAGGCTTCTCTCCTTTGCTGGTAAATGAAAGTCTTCTCGCTGTGTCTTCACATTGTCTTCCCTCTCTGGTGTCTATGTGCAAATATCTTCTCCTTATGAGGACACCAGTCATACTGGATCAGTGCCCACCCTAATGGCCTCATTTTAACTTAGTCACCTCTGTAAATACCTTATTTCTATTCTGAGTCATTTGAGGAACTAGGGGTTAAGTCTTCAACACATGAATTTTGGGGTCTTGAGAATAATCGTCTTTGGCTTGAGGCTCTGTCTTCTGAGCTCACCATGCTGGCAGCCTTACTCCCACCCCCAGCCCTGGTTGGTGTCTCCATCCCATATCAGAGCTGGAACAATGAGTAAAAATGCAAAGTATCTGAGGTGCCAAGAATGGACTTCTTCTTGGTTTTGGTTCATGTTATCCTGCTTTTTGCATGTCTATTATTTTTGTTACATGCTGGTTATTATAAATTCTAACATTGTTAAGTGACCAATTATATCTTTCTTTGAAGAGCGTCGAACAATTTTTGGCAGTATTTCTGTATCCAGCATCATATAATCTTATGCATACAAAGTTTAATATTCAACAGTTTCCTCAGTGGGGGCCTTATACAGGATTTAGGCCATATTTTCTGCACATCTAGCTCTCCTTTGGTCTCTTTCTTATGAAATTTAGCTATTTCAGACTTCTAGAACTCCAGCATTTTTCTCAACTTAGCCTGCAAAATCCTGCCTAAATTGCCCCTCTTTTTACCATGGTCTGGAAATTCTTCCAGAAGGAAAGATAATGTCATCTTTCAGTTTATCTCCTTTCTTCTCTTTCTGTCAGAAATCACAGTTCTCTACTGCCTTTGTTCAATTTCTAAAGACAGTTATTTACATATTTCATGAGGCTGTCTAGTTATAGTCAGTGGGAGCTTCACTCCATAGATTTTCGTCCACCTATCCTCATAGTCTCATTAGAGGAAGATGGAAATCACAACTTTAGGCAAGTCAAAACCCCTCCCTGTTTTTCTCAATTCATCTTTGAAGACCTTCTGCACTGTCTTTATTTTACTCATTAGGTCAACTCCATCAATAAGTTTGAGTATCTGCAAATATATGAGAAGGCATTGATTGTCCCAAGTAAAGATAGTAGAGTTCCAAGATTAGCACCTTTAACATGCTTTTCCATAATTAAGCCAGAGGTTCCCTGCTCAGGGTTGGTACAAGCAGTTTACCTATACTACTTCAAGAGAATTCTCCAACACTGCGGTTGTCTCACTGACTTCTTATCTTGATCCCCACCTCCTGCGTCTTCCCACTTCTGTAGTTTCTCTGGGACCTCAGTGAAATGAGCCAGCAATGTATTCTATTTCAGTATCTTAGCAGAAGCCTGAAACAAAACTGAATTAATAAATGAGAAGTTGCTTATTGAAGCTAGAGAGAATGAAAGAACCTAATGCCTTTTATTATTAAGCTGCAATATTCTGATGTGCTCAATCAATCAGGCAGAGGCACACTTTGCCCCGAGGGTGCTCAAGGTAGTCACAGTTACAGATTTTCATTCATTCTCAAATTAATAACTATTCATCAGTCATAAAATAAACTTCATGTCTGATTGTCATGAGCTTTTCTTTTGTCTACCTCCCAGTTTTCTTTCCAAAGTTAAAATCTCCTTATTTTGTTAAAAACGCTACAAATTTTATTTTAGGATTGATTTGGACAAGTGACTGATCTCAGTCAGTAAGGTTTCAAGTTTTTTGACATATTTCCCTTACATATGTTCAAAACAAGGGCATATATTTGTCCTCTTGTTAAATTTCATTGATGTATAAAAGAGAAATTTGCTCACCTGAATTTGGTTCTCAGGCACTGCTTTTTTGGACATGTCTTTCTGCATGATGTGCTTATTTTTTTCAGTTAGCACCTTCCATACCTTAGGTGCATTACATTTCCTCTTTGACTGCTCTGTGCCCAAGAGCTTTACCCTCAGACACTGCATTTCTTGTGCCCCTAGGTCAGCTAGTATGCCACTGGGTTTCACCAATGAGAGATACTGACAGGAGTTGAGAAAGTAAAAAACAAAGAAAGAATGGGATATTCATTTCCCTTTTTTTCTGTTTTGTACTATGTTTAGGCAGTGACTGAATCTCTCCCTTTGCCATATTTTTTTCCTTATGGCCAATACTCAAGGTTTCTAGCTCTCCTTGGATTTCAAGAACATAATATCCCCACTTTATCTCTTTTGTCCTAGGACTAATAACAACTTTCAGCTATTGCTAGTATCTGGATATCTGATATTCCTTTTTGAGCCACATGGATTGCTGATATGAAAGTTTTACCTTCATGATACTCTCTTGAATTGCTTGTATTATATTCCATTTTCTACCAAACCCTGACAGATGAATATCCAAGATGTAAGATTGTAAGATTCTTTCTTTTTTGTTTTTTTTTGTTTTTTTTTGAGACAGAGTTTTGCTCTTTTGCTCTTTTTACCCAGGCTAGAGTGCAGTGGCACAATTTCAGTCACTGCAATCTCTGCCTCCTGGGTTCAACCGATTCCCCTGCCTCAGCCTCCCAAGCAGCTGGGATTACAGGCATGTACCACTACGCCCAGCTAATTTTTGTATTTTTAGTAGAGATGGGGTTTCACCATGTCGGCCAGCCTGGTCTCGAACTCCTGACCTCAGGTGATCCACCCACCTCGGCCTCCCAAAGTGCTGGGATTAAAGGCATGAGCCACTGCACCCAGCCAAGATTCTATTTTTAAAGGGGTTAAGAAAGCAAGAGTTTGTTTGCTTGCTTTTGGTGGAATTAGAGAACGGACCTGGCAGGGAGCCATTGTACCAGGTCCTGTATTTAGCTGCTTCTTTGAGTGATTTTGAAGTTCTGGTCACAGGGTTCACTCAAATCTTTTTCGGGTATTTGTTTTTAACGAAAAACATTTATTCACTCATCAGGGGCTTTGTATTAGCTGTTTCCTTTACCTCAGCAAGCCACATTTTCTCTAGTTCTTTTTTTGTGGTTAACTCCTTTTCATTCGTTAGGTTTCAGGTCATGTCATTTTCTTAGGGAGGTCTTCCCTGATCCTCTCATGTAAAAAAGCATCTACCTCTGTCATTTTGCCTGGTCATTTCCTTATTTAATTTATAGTTTTCCTCCTTTTCAGTTGATGTCCCCTCCTTTACTGTTTGTCTGTTATTATCTTCCTCTGATCTATAGATGAGAGCAGAGTCTTTGATTTTCTTATTCATCATTTAAATTCCTAGCATCTAAAATATAGATCCTGCCACATAGCCAGTGTTTAATTTTTTTAAAAAAGCAGCATTACTTAAGAATGCAAGAAAATACAGTGTTTGAAGAAAGGCAGTTCTTTCTAATCCATACTTACATTTTGGAGCAAATCTTCTGTAGAAAGCACCAGAAAACCATTAATTCCCTCAATTAGTGATGGGATGTTTCTTAAAGTGGCAAAGAGGAAAATAACCTGTATTCTGAAAAAACAAGGAAATCTGCTATTGATATCAACATTATTTTAGCATTGTTTATACTGACAAACTGATGAGATATGAAGGCATGAATTGCACATCATTAAAAGTAATTTTGGTATCTAATTTAAATAAAAATAAGATAACTTTATAATGTTAATAGATTATAACAGAAATGATATAATAACCCCTATTATATCATGTATTCTGCCCATCCTACAATATTCAAAAATCATATATATGTTTTAGATTGCATTATTAAAGTGAATTTTTGCTTGTTAGAACTCTGATAAAATACTTAAGGTTCTCTTTCTCAGAAGAAGTAATGAGTAGAATATGAAATGCCTCTTTGTGCTTCCAAACACAGATGAATTAGTCTCTCTGTTATGTAGTCCCTAAGCGCCATTTAAAATGATCAAATGTACTTATGATCACAGAAAATCTCCAGTGAAGTTTTGTAGTCCATCAGTGCACAAAATCAGCATTTTTTCAATTATTGTAAAAGACTGAGTGGCTGCATGAATTTATCTAGTAAGGAGAAGATGACTGAATTAGTAAGAAAGCTAGTCTCTAGTGGGGAAGCCAGATCAGCGAATGATATTAACTTCCTTTTTTCTTTTTCATATCACTGCATAGTGAATTGAATAATAAATGAATTGAGATATTGAAACAAAACAGTACCAAATGTATTTGCCTTATGAAATTTAAAAGTGGAATGTATCTGAATAATATTTGTATTCTTTCTCTCACCTTGAATATACTGCAGTATGGGCTGTGCCTCCCTACACTATATTAAGAAGTAAGATATAGTAGGAAAAGTGCCACAGGATTTGGAATAAGGTATACCTGAGTTTGCTCTATTATCATGGCCGGATCAATATAGTTACACTGTGCATGCAATCCTGGTAGTCTTACCAGGACATTTTAATGATTCCATCTTAAATGTTATATACAGAATAATTTATAAATAATTATAAAACTGTGGCCTCTGTAATATGGCCATAACTTACATTCATATAGGAGTTTAGAAACTGTTATCCTAAATAGCCGCCGTTTAGAAAATAGCATCTATGATAGTTTTGTTTCCTCAGTCTTTCTCTTTGAACAAGTAGTAAAATTCACAGTCAGCTTTCTGTTTATGTACTGTCATTAATGCCCTCTAGGTTGCGTATTGAATCCTCATTTGTCTCCTTCTTTGCTTCCACAATAACCAGAAATATTTATCTTTCAAGAGATTCTCACCATTTATCTTTCTAAGCTCCATATATTATTGCCCCACTAAGAAATAAAATATATATAAATATTATTATTTATTTATTATTGCCCCACTAAGAAGTTATATATATGAAGACTATAAAGTAAGTCTGGCAGCAGAAAGTCACGTAGGCTTTGGAAGATGAACCGTCAATGAGAATTTATAGTATAGGAGGAAACTGGAAATTTCAGCAGATACATGGGTCAAGAAGTCATGATAATACCATAGGAGCTCACTTGAATGAATAGGAGTTAACACTTGAGAGATCCTTTAGGAGGTGTAATGACTCAATTACGACATCTGGGTATAGAATTAATGCTGGGTATAGAATTAATGCTGTATGTATAAGGTACATAATGAAATCAAGTTAAAAAAGAGGTCAGGTATTTAAGGGAAGATATGACACATTTCGGTTTTTGAATAAAAAGACAATGTAAAGCCTAAAGAATAAGGAATAAAATATTTTTGGCAGTAACTGGAGCTCAATGTGAGGGTAATATAATATGCAAATCTGAGCAAATTTGCTGAATTCATGAGTTACTCATATAAGGCTTCTCAAGCCGTGATGAATAAATCAAGGATTGGTCCAAGAATACAATTTTCTAACAATTATTTCGGCCCCCATGTTTTTCTGTCTCTTTAACTGTGGTAATTCCAACACATCCCTCTTATAAATTATCCTTATACAGGTAAATCCATATCTAAAGCTCCTTATGTAGAATTATATAACTTTTTTCTGAAATTACCATAACACTTTTCATAGTACTTAAAACATGGTCTACGTGGTAGTCTGTTCTCATGCTGCTATGAAGAAATACCGAGATTGAGTAATTTATAAAGAAAAGAGGTCTGATTGACTCACAGTTCTGCATTGCTAGGGAGGCCTCAGGAAACTTACAATAATGGTGGAAGGCAAAGGAGAAGCAGGCACCTTCTTCACAAGGCAACAGGATGGAATGAATGCAAGCAAGGGAAATGCCAGATGCCTATAAAACCATCAGATCTCATGAGAACTCACTATCACAACAACAGCATGGTGGAAACCACCTCCATGATCTAAATACCTCTACCCAGTCCTGCCCTTGATACATGGGGATTATAGGGATTGCAAATTGAGGTGAGATTTGGGTGGGGACACAGAGCCAAATCATATCATTCTGCCCCAAGTCCCTCCCAAACCTCATGTCTTTTCACATTTCAAAACCAGTCATGCCTTCCAAACAGCTCCCAAAGCCTTAACTCTTTTCAGCATTAACTCAAAAGTCCACAGTCAAAAGTCTTGTCTCAGACAAGGCAAGTCCCTTCCACCTATGAGCCTGTTGAATCAAAAGCAAGTTAGTTACTTCCTAGATACAATGGGGGTGCAGGCATTGGATAAATGCTCCTATTCCAAATGAAAGAAATTGATCAAAACAAAGGGGCTACAGGCCCATGCAAGTTTGAAATCCAGTGGGGCAGTCATTAAACCTTAAAGCCAAGATGATCTCCTTTGACTCCACATCTCAAATCCAAGGCATGCTGATGCAAGAGGTGGGCTCCCACGGCCTTGCGGAGCTCCACTCCTGTGGCTCTAGAGAGTACAGGCCACCTCCCAGCTGCTTTCATGGGCTGGCATTCAGTGTCTGAGTCTTTTCCAGGTGCACAGTGCAAGCTGTCAGTGGAGCTACCATTCTGGAATCTGGAGGACAGTGGCCTTCTTCTCTCAGCTCCACTATGCAATGCCCCAGGAGACTGTGTGGGGGCTCTGACCCCACATTTCCCTTCCACACTGCCATAGCAGAGATTCTCCCTTAGGGTCTCGCCCCTGAAGCAAACTTTTGCCTAGACATCCAGACATTTCCATACATCCTCTGAAATCCAGGCAGAGGTTCCCAAAACTCAGTTCTTGACTTCTGTGAACCCTTGAGAAGTGAGGCCAGCTGGACTTCCTAGGTCGAGTGGGGACTTGGGGAACTTGCCTGTCTCACAAGAATATTGCAAAATGCACCAATCAGTGCTCTGTAAAACACACCAATCAGTGCTCTCTGAAACGCACCAATCAGCGCTCTGTAAAACACACCAATCAGTGCCCTGTAAAACAACCAATCAGTAGGATTTTAAAAGTAGCCAATCTTGGGGAGGATTGAAAAACGGGCACTCTGATAGGGGAGAAATGGAACATGGGAGGGGACAATAAGGGAATAAAAGCTGGCCACCCCCAACCAGCAGCAGCAACCCACCGAGGTCACCTTCCACACTGTGGAAGCTTTGTCCTGTTGCTCTTCACAATAAACCTTGCTACCACTCACTCTTTGGGTCCATGCCATCTTTAAGAGCTGTAACACTCACCACAAAGGTTCATGGCTTCATTCTTGAAGTCAGCGAGACCATGAACCCACCAGCAGGAACCAACTCCGGACACATCCTCAACTTCAACACCACATGGAAGCCACCAAGGCCTGGGGCTTGCATCCTCTGAAGCTAGAGCCTAAGCTGTACCTTGGCCCTTTTTATCCAGGGCCAGAGTGGCTGCAATGCAAGGCACCAAGTCCCAAGGCAGCACATTGCAGCGGGGCCCTTGGCCCAACCCACAAAACCATTTTTCCGTCCTAAGCCTCTAGGCTTGTGATGGGAAGGGCTGCAGTAAAGGTTTCTGATATGCCCTGGAAACATTTTCTCCATTGTCTTGGCGATTAACATTTGGTTCCTCATTATTTATTTAAATTTCTGCAACCGGCTTGAATTTCTCCACAGAAAATGAATTTTTATTTTCTATTCCGTGGTCAGGCTGCAAATTTTCCAAACTTTTGTAATCTATCACCTCTTGAATGCTTTGCTGCTTAGAAATTTCTTTCTCCAGATACCCTAAATCATTTCTCACAAGTTGAAAGTTCCACAGATCTCTAGAACAGGAGTAAAATGCCACCAGTCTCTTTGCTAAAGCACAGCAACAGTCACCTTTGCTCCAGTTCCCAAGAAGTTCTTCATCTCCATCTGAGACCACCTCAGCCTGGACTTCATTGTCCATATGACTATCAGCATTTTCATCAAAACCATTCAACAAGTCTCTAGGAAGTTCCACACTTTCACATATCTTCCTATCTTCTTCTGAGCTCTCCAAACTGTTCCAAGCTCTACCTATTACCCAGTTCCAAAGTCACTTCCGCATTTTTGGGTAACTTTACTGCAATGCCCCACTCTCTGTGGTATGAATGTACTGTATTAGTCCGTTCTCACACTGCTAACAAGACATACCTGAGACCGGGTAATTTTGTAAAGGAAAGAGGTTTAATTGACTCATAGTTCTGCATGGATGAGGAGGCTTAGGTGAGGCAGTAAAATAGGGTCTGGAGGAAGGGAATATAAGGCCGATTTACACTTCAGCTATAACAGGAAGTATACTCTCCATAGTACGTATGCTGTAAATGACTTTGTAACTTCACTTCATCCTCTGCATTTACATAGGGCATGCTTCAAGTAACCAATAGAATCCTCTACGGGGTATTTAAACTCCCCAAAATTTTCTAACAGGGCCTTTGAGCCCCTATGCTCAGGCCAGCTCCCACACTATGGAGCATAGTTTCATTTTCAACAAATCCCTTCCTTCCTTCCTTGCTTTGTTTGTGTGTTTTGTCCAATTCTTTGTTCAAGATTCCAGGAACCTGGACACTCTCCACCATTAATATAAGGAAACTTACAGTCACAGCAGATGGCAAAGGAGAAGCAGGCACCTTCTTCACAGGGTGGCAGGACGGAGTGAGTGCAAGTAGGGGGAAATGCCAGATGCTTATAAAACCATCAGATCTCATGAGAAGTCACTCACTATCACAGGAATACCATGGAGGAAACTTCACCCATGTTCCAATTACCTCCACCTGGTTCTGCCCTTGACACATGGGGATCATGGAGACTACCATTTGAGTTGAGATTTGGGTGGGGACACAGAGCCAAACCATATCAGCCTATGTTAGTGGTATTCTCCACTATATGAAGGAGGAAGAAAGCTGCAATAAATTTAGTCCACAGCTGAAGTTGAATGGTCCAGTTTAGAAATGAAGAATAATTCCTAAAAAAAAAAACTAGTATCCAAGCATTTTAGAAGATTTTATTATTATAGAGAGAAAGGAAACATACATAGGTTAAAAAATGGCAAAATAGAAAAGATTTCATTTATTATTGTTATATTCTCTCTTAGATCTTGATCTCAGTCATTTTTCCTGTTGTTTTCTCCAGGTCAAGTTCTGTATTAGGCTAGGTTTTGTTTCAAGATGAAGAAACTACTTAAATTATTTTAGCAAAAAGTTATTTTACCTATAGATTGGGTTATTTCAAAATTACTAAATGAATTGAAGAAAGTTGAGCCACCCCAAATTTCTCAGAATTTTACCTTGTATTTTCTGAGACAATCAATAAGGGAATAAAGAATGAAGGAGGGTTGGTACAATGTGTTAGCGACAGTTCACTTAGAAAAATAGAAACTACACTAGCTATTTCAACAAAGAGCATTTAACACAAAAAATGAGATGTCGGAAAGCTCACCTGGCAAAACAAAAACAAACAAAGTAAGGCAGAGGTAGTAGATGAGGATATGGGTGTTGCCTTTAAAGTTGGGGAAAAAGTAAAATGTTCAGGGTTTTCAGATTTTAGAGGCCAAGAGTAGGATCCCCATAGAGTTGGGAATCAAACATTTGAGGAGGGAGTGGCAGACATGTAGTATGGAAACCCAGGAGCAGAAAGGAGGGGTCTTATAAACTATAACTTACACCTCAAGACAAGAAATGGCACTTACTATTTCAGGAGCTTAAAGTAAGCATCCCATAAGCTCTGGGGTGAGGCCTCTCAGGAGGTGGCATGGTCTGTTGGTGCTGATATCACATTTATTTAGAGAAGAGATCTAAAGCCCCTCATAAAGCTAGAAGTCAGCCGAGTCCTGGTAATCTTTTAGGGTAGGAGGTGATCAGGATTGTTGTGAAAGAACCAAAATAAGTGGGAAATTGGAAACCACTACTGCAGTCACAATGTAGCAACACTGATGAAGTAACACTGACAGGAACAACAAGGGAATTGAGCTAAACAAGTCACTTCTTTCTTCCTCTCAAATTTCAGTCTCCCTCCAGTGCCTGTACTAGAAAAGCATAAAATAAATCCACTTGATAAAGAATTGTAGGCTTAAAGAACCCTCACACCAGCATGATAAAGCAAAGTATAGAAGTATGGATTTAAAGCTGAGAGTCAAATAGTTCACAACCAGCACTAATAAGACTCATAGTTTCAAACTCTAATTAGGACTCCTAACCATGAGAAATGTCTTAACTTTATGGCTCAGCGTGTGAAAGAGATAAAGCAACATTTGGCTACATAGCTGCAGAGAGAGTAAACTAAGAACTGATAATTAGGCACTAAATAATCTTATATAATAATGGACTTACATGGCTTTACTGTGAGTTATTTTGTATGCCCACCTTTATAACCTGCCCTCCCTAAAAAGATGTAGGAGATAGATGGAAGGCAAATTCTAAAAACTGAGGAGCGATATTGTGGTATGTTAAGGATAGCTATATCCTTAATTGTTGCTACTCCTCTCATTGAGAGGTAGGTTTTAATTTCTCTCCCTAGAATTTGTGTTTCTATGCTGCCCTCAATAATTTGACCAATCAAACAGACCAATAATTATATTCTAGGACATCTGAAGCAAGAACATAAAAATCTTGTCTTTCATCTAAGAGTTTTAGAACACTCAGGGAGGTCTGAACTGTCATATAAGAAGTCTATCTACAACACTGTTGACACTTCTTTTAGGTACTCTGATCAACATTCCCATTTGAGCCCAGCCTTCTAACTCTCCCTGCCAAGACAAAAAAAAAAACATGTAAGGGAGGCTATCTTGGATGGTTCAGACCAGCCTCTCTGCCAAATAAAAAATACTCTGTGACATCTATTGACATGTGGAATGGAACAGTCAGCATGCCTGAATTCATGGTTAACAAACTGATCAGATACATTAAAATGATGATTGTTTTATGCCACTAAGATTTGGGGTAGTTTGTTATGCAGCAAAAGATAATGGAACAGATACATATAAAGGTCAGAGATATGCAGAATTTCTGTGAGTTTTTTGAGGCAACATATAAAATATAGGGCACTATTTTTTTCCAGTTTAAACTATCTTTTTAAAACATTATTAAATGTTTAAAATTATTAAACTTTTTAAAACATTATTCTTGAAAGACTAGCAGACTCTAAGATGAAAGAAAAGGATAGAAAAAAAGTAACATACAATAAATAAACCAAAAGAAAAAAGTTACATAAATGAAATAAAGGAAAATAGTTCTTAACCTCTCCAGAGAAAAATGGACTCAAGAAAAAGAAATACGAGGTAATAAAATGACAGAAAGAATAGGAAAAGTGGCATAAAAACTGAGAAATATATAATATTTTTAGATTAAAAAATTAAGGGCCACTGATTTATTGTGGGATTAAAAAAATTGTTGGAGACCAATACTTCTGGAAGAAACAACTTCAACAATGAAATAATGTTTTTTTAAAAATATGTGTAGTCGTATCAGAAATTGGGAACCAACAAGGAGTAGAGTGGTGAAAATTATATGAAGCAAATAATTTAGGAGAGTCCAGCTAATGATATGTACTCTTTTAACCTGAAAACAATTTGTGATGCAGAAGCTGTGCAAGACCGGATATTTAATATGTAAGTTTAAAAACTCTGTAGAAAATAGAGGAAGGATTTTTTTTTCAGTCTCATCATTTTAGGAAGAAATATTAAAATATAGGACATTCCCAGAGAGGGTCTCTGGTGAAACATCAGATTCTTTTTCTTTTTCTTTTTTCTTTTCTTTTCTTTTTCTTTTTTTTTTTTTGAGACGGAGTGTTTACTATTGTTGCCCAGGCTGGAGTGCAATGGTGCAATCTTGGCTCACTGCAACAACCACCTCCCGAGTTCAAGCGATTCTCCTGCCTCAGCCTCCCAAGTAGCTTGGATTACAGGCGTCCGCTAATGGTAGCTAACGCTAATTTTTTAGCCCCGCTAATTTTTTGTATTTAGTAGAGATGGGGTTTCACCATGTTGGTCAGGTTGGACTTGAACTCCTGACCTCAGGTGATCCACCCACCTCGACCTCCCAAAGTGCTAGGAGTAACAGGCGTGAGCCACCTCGCCCAGCCAAAACATTAGACTCTTAACTGAATGCCCTAAAACTACACACTGGGACAGGCACAAACCAATGTAAAATGAGCCTTACATTAAATGCAATCCAGCTTTAACTCACCCTAATCTCTACCTGAATTAAAACAACCAGTTCCCCCACTTTTCTCTGGGCAGCAGCAAAATGAATAAGCCCTCTCTGGAGACGGATGACGTCATATTATGAAAAGTCATTAAAAATATACTTCAATCTCATTCTGGCTAACATGGTGAAACCCCGTCTCTACTAAAAATACAAAAAATTAGCCGGGCATAGTGGCGGGCGCCTGTAGTCCCAGCTACTCGGGAGGCTGAGGCGGGAGACTGGCGTGAACCCCGGAGGCGGAGGTTGCAGTGAGCCGAGATCGTGCCACTGCACTCCAGCGACAGAGCGAGACTCGGAGACTCCGTCTCAAAAAAAAAAAAAAAAAAAAAAAAAAAAAAAAAAAAAAAAAAGGCCGGCGCAGTGGCTCACGCCTATAATCACAGCACTTTCGGAGGCCGAGGCGGGGGAATAACGAGGTCAAGGATCGAGACCACCCTGGCCAACATGGCGAAACCCCGTCTCTACTAAAAATACAAAAATTAGCTGGGCGTGGTGGCGAGCGCCTGTAGTCCCAGCTACTAGGGAAACTGAGGCAGAAGGACCGCTTGAACTGGGGAGGCGGAGGTTGCAGTGAGTCGAGATTGTGCCACTGCACTCCAGCCCTGGTGACAGAGTGAGACTCTGTCTCCAAAATAAAATAAAATAACATTATATATATATATATATGTATATATATATTTCAATCTATGTACCTAACTATTTTTGTAGGAATTCTTGGTTTTATGAATTCAGCCTCAAAATTCCTGCTCTAGTTGCCACCCGTAGATGGCAGACTATAAGGCAACCACCCATATTCCCTTTCTTATGGTGATCACACCTTTGTATAATCCTCTTCCCTTGCTGGAACTGTCACTTTCCTCAACTTACAGAATATTTCAAAATTGATGGTGTGTTGCTCCCTTGATTGTGTTATGTTAAATAAACTCTGTCTTGCCAGCAGATTCACTCTAGAAACTCTCCTTGCTGGTCCAATGAAGTAACCTGCCATTGGCAAGGAATGCAAGAACCTCCAGAAGCTGAGAGCAACCTCCAGGTAGCAAGAAGCTATAGTCCTCAGTTCTGCAGCCACTCATACAAACAAGAATTCTGCCAACAATCTGAATGAGTTTAGAGATGGTTATGTTTCCAGTTGAGCCTCCAAATAAGAATCCAGCTCTGGAAAATACCTAGATTTTAAACCATGCAGAGGACCCATCTCAGCCATGGGTCAAACTCTTGACACACAGACACCTTGAGTTAATAAATATGTGTATTTTTATTCTGCTAAGTATTTGATAATTTGTTGTGCAGTAATTTGAAACTAATGAATACTCTTACATATTCTCATTTATGTTCTCACTTTACTCACTCAGCAATTCTTTCTTAAAACATGTTCTTCACTTCACTTCTATATACTACACAAATAGTTAGTACATGGTCTACCATTCTTAATCATTCTTGCTAGATCTTCCTCTTCCTCTTTAAATGTGGAAGTGCACCAGAGTTTAGCACATTATACTACTCCCATTTACATTAACTTCCTGGTGATCACTTCTAGTTTCAAGGCTTAAAATTTCCATCAGTACCGTAATGATGACTTCCATATTTTAATTCCATTGCATATATTCTTCAAAATCAAAATTTATATGTTCAATCTCATATTCAGTTTATCAATTTTGATGCCTTATAAGTATGTTAAATTCAAAATATTTAAAACAAAACTTTTGCTTTCCTCCCACCTTATCTGCTTCCTCCCTGGTGTTGCGTTTGCAGCAAGTGATAGCACAGTTCACTAGTTGCTAAACAAAAATCCAGAAATCTTTCTTGACTCCTCTTTTACTTATAGCCACTTTATCAGATTATATTGTAGACTGTACCATCAAATTATATCTAAAATCCACCAAATTCTCACTAACTCCACCCTACTGCTCTGGCTTTTTCTCTCTGCATGTTATATTGAACGTTCCCTTGCTAAATATCTTTAATTCGTCCCCTAGTGATATCAATT
The DNA here is from genome assembly GCF_000001405.40 of Homo sapiens. Classification (NCBI taxonomy): domain Eukaryota; kingdom Metazoa; phylum Chordata; class Mammalia; order Primates; family Hominidae; genus Homo; species Homo sapiens. Next base: position 102,906,925 of record NC_000006.12, read on the forward strand.
TCACTCATTCTGATTTTGTGTAGTCTGTATAGGTGAATCCCTTCTTTCATTCATAGATTTCTTCAAATATCACGTCTCTATAATGGTGCTTTCATTCATTTTTTACTCTCTGTACATTTATCATGCTTTATTTTTCTATATAGCACTTTATACAATTGATATTATAATATATATATTTATGACTTTTCCTTACTTGACTATATGTTTCACAAGAGCATATAATTCACAGGGGTATACAATTCATAAACGTAAAATATTTTTTATTGTGTGTCTAGCTCAGAGGTGACTTAAAAGATTATAACTTTTAGTTTATTACATAGCTATTAAATGAACAAAAAATATTGAGGACCTCAGTAGTGAAACAGGAGGAGTTCCCTTATCCCCCCAGTAGGGCTTGCAACAAGGGTGTGGCTCGCTTCTTTGGTGCCCCGCTGCTCAAACCCCTAGGGGGAGCATGCGGATGGGCAGGTTACTGGGAGCGTTTTATAGCTCCAACCCCCATGGCACCGTCTAGGGTTGAGTGTTTACAGCTCAGGAAGCCCAAGTGGGTGTGTGTTACAGTGTGCTCTTTCAGTTTTGCTGTCTGCAGGTGGCTTGTGTTAATCAGCTCAACTAGACTCTCTGCCTTATCGCAAGGACAGAGGGCTTTCTGTATCCCAGGTTCTTGCCCTAGGATACCGGAAAAATCGGATCACACATGGACTTGGAGGATGGGTGCAAGGTTTCATGGAGTGGCGGAAGAAGCTGTCGGTGAGATGGATGGGCAGGCCAGTAGCGGGATGGAGAGAGAAGGTGGTCTTCCCCTGGAGTAGGGCCGCCCAGCGGCTGCACTCTCCTCTGACCCCATGGACTGAATTCCACGTTATCCTGCTGTCAGTGGCCTGCCAGCATCTGCTGGTGTCTGTCGGTGTGCTCTTCTGCTCCTCTCAGTGTCCAGCCACTTGTTTGTGTGCCTGCTAAGGCCTGTCGGGTCTATGTGGGCACAGGATAACGGGCATGGCGGGCGAAAAGTCAACTTTTGGGGCTTGAAAACAGAAATGCTTGTCCTCACTTAGGTCCATGTGCACAGGGCCGAGGGTGGAGCCCTCACCAGGGACCCTGCCCTTCTCTGTCCATCACTTCCCTGCCCCCCTCCCATATCAGTAGGAATATATACATATATATATATTTATTAAAACATTTTTTCATTAAAAATGAAACTTTCATTAAAACTTTTTACATATATACATGTTTCATAAAATATGTTTTTGAATAGTCACTATCTCTAAGTTTTACTAAGATCTAATGTACAAATATAAATATTAAATGATTGAAATGTTAATGAATTAAAAGGTAACAATATGTGTTTTAAATGTAAAAACTCAGCTAAATTGAGACGATTCTATTTCAGGTTTAAAAGTTGTAATGTATTGAAAATGACTGTTCATGCTTTGCTTACGATTTCTATTAGGCACAAATGTTTAAGGTAATATCTAGAAATGCTTTTTACATATTTTCTTGGTATTAACACATCATTCAATTTAATGATCAATGACAGATAACCCATAAGGCACTGTTTCAAATTTACAAAAATAAAATAACAAATTAATAACAATGAAGTCAATATCGTACTCCATATTTTATTTTTGTTGCCACCTAAATTACTAGATATGAGTTACATATTTTCCTGAACACATCATGTTTAGTATTTTTGTTTCCATTTAATTCATAACAAGTTTATTTTTCATTTAATACATATTTTACCAGTTAGATTGTAAGATCCCTGAGGACAAATAACAATCTGTTCTAATCATCCCAAATTCCTAACTACTAGATTCTCATCTAGTAAAAATGTTTCTTGATTGCATGAGGAGAATGTACTTTTGCTCAAAGGTATTTCACATATATTTTTTCATTTATTATATTTTTAAATGAAAAATACAAATTGCATATAGGTATTATGTACAACATATTTTGAAATATGTATAGATTGTGGAATGGCTCAATCCAGCTAATTAACATAGGCATTTTTTATATTTTTGTGGCAAAGACAATTAAGATTTACTTTCTTAGCTTTTTCAACGCATAATACGTTGTTATTAACTATAGTCACCATGTTGTACAATGGGTGTCTTGAACTTACTCTTCCTAACTGAAATTTTGTATCCTTCAACCATTTCCTCACCTTTCACCTACCAGCCTCTTGTAACCACCATTCTACTCTTTACTTCTGAGTTCAACATCTTTAGATTCCACATATGAGATCCTGAGGCATCTGTCTTTCTGTGCCTGTCTTATTCATTTAACATAATACCATTCAGGTTCAACTGTTTTATTGCAAATATTGGAATTTCTTTTATTAAGGCTGAATAATATTTCACTGTGTATACATACCACATTTTTTTCTTACTTCTCACAAAACCCAGTGAGAAGGGCCTCATATTGCCAAAGAGGTCAAGTATCGTAGTTTCTATCAAAAGGTATATGAGTGCCTAAGCTGAGGCTCAAGACTATTTTACTAACTGTAAACCCCAAGAAATTTACATCATAACACACTGCTCTGGAGTTTCCTCTCACTTCAAAATTGTAATCCTTATTTTAAGTTCTAAAAATACTTGTGCAGCAAATTGTATAGAAACTATCTTTTGTTAAAAAAAAAAAAAAACCTCTCGTACCAATTACAAAATTCGACAAAATTTAAACACATTTTATTCTTTTTAAAACAAAATTCAAGCCAGCAATAAACAACTAGAAAGCTGTATCTGTTTCCTAATTGGCCTTACACCAAGGAAAATAAAACTTTCCCTGGTCTTCATGACAGGAGGTAGTTTTACAACTTGGTTAAAGACTTGGACAGAAGTTAGACTCCTATCCTCCCACAGAATCTGAAAAATACAGGCACCATCTTCCTTAATGTTTACATTTCAAAGAGGTGGTTCCCAGACCCTTTAGAAAGGCATTCTTGGGTCATAACGTGTCTGGAATTGGTGGGTTCTTGGTCTCACCGACTTCAGGAATGAAGCCGCAGACCCTCATGGTGAGTGTTACAGTTCTTAAAGGCAGCGTGTCCGGAGTTTGTTCCTTCTGATGTTCGGATGTGTTCGGAGTTTCTTCCTTCAGGGGGGTTCATGGTCTCGCTGGCTCAGGAGTGAAGGTGCAGACCTTCGCGTTGAGCGTTACAGCTCTTATGACTGCGCGCCTGGAGTTGTTCGTTCCTCCTGGTGGGTTCGCGGTGCCGCTGGCTTTAGCAGGGAAGCTTCACACCTCCGTGGTGAGTGTTAAAGCTCATACAGGCAGTGTGGACCCAAACAGTGAGCAACAGCAAGATTTATTGCAATGAGCAAAAGAACAAACCTTCCACCTCAAGGAAGGTGACCCAGCTGGTTACCACTCCTGGCTGAGGCAGCCTGCTTTTATTCTCTTATCTGGCCCCACCCACATCCTGCTGATTGGTCCATTTTACAGAGAGCCGATTGGTCTGTTTTACAGAGAGCTGATTGGTCCGTTTTGAGAGAGTACTGATTGGTGCCTTTACAATCCCAGAGCTAGACACAAAAGTTCTCCACTAGATTAGCTAGATACAGAGTGTCAATTTGTGTATTTACAAACCCTGAGCTAGACACAGAGTGCTGATTGGTGCATTTACAAACCTTGAGCTAGATACAGAGTGCTGATTGGTGTATTTACAATCCCTTAGCTAGACATAAAGATTCTCCAAGTTCCCACCAGACTCAGGAGCCCAGCTGGCTTCACCCAGTGGATCCCACACTGGGGCCGCAGGTAGAGCTGCCTGCCAGTCTCGCGCCGCCCTGCGCCAGCACTCCTCAGCCCTTGGGCGGTCTATGGGACTGGGCGCCATGGAGCAGGGAGCGGTGCTCATCCGGGAGGCTCAGGCATGGCGGGCTGCAGGTCCCAAGCCCTGCGCCGCAGGGAGGCAGCTAAGGCCTGGCGAGAAATCCAGCACAGCAGCTGCTGGCCCAGGTGCTAAGCCCCTCACTGCCCCGGGCTTGCGGGCCCGCCGGCCTCTCCGAGTGCGGGCCGCCGAGCCCACGCCCACCCGGAACTCGCGCTGGCCAGCAAGCGCCGCGCGCAGCCCCGGTTCCCGCTCGCGCCTCTCCCTCCACACCTCCCGGCAAGCTGAGGGAGCCGGCTCTGGCCTTGGCCAGCCGAGAAAGGGGATCCCACAGTGCAGCGGTGGGCTGAAGGGCTCCTCAAGCACGGCCAGAGTGGGCGCCAAGGCCGAGGAGGCACCGAGAACTAGCGAGGGCTGTGAGGACTGCCAGCACGCCGTCACCTCTCAGTAAAAGTGGTAAGAAGCTTTCAAGAGTTTGCGCTTTGATATACTTAGGTTTTGTATCTCTATCCAAATCTCATCTTGAATTGTAACCCCCAGGTGTTGAGGGAGAGACCTAGTGGGAGGTGATTGGATCATGGGGGCGGTTTCCCCCATGCTGTTCTTGTAATGGTGAGGGAGTTCTCATGAGATCTGTTGGTTTTATAAGTATTTGGAAATTCTTCCTTCAGTTACTCTTCTCTTCTGCCACCTCATAGAGAAGCGCCTGCTTCCGCGTCACCTTATGCCATATGGTAATTTTCCTGAGGCTGCCCCAGCAAAGTGGAACTGTGAGTCAATTAAACCTCTTTCCTATATAAATTACCCAGTCTCAGGTAGTTTCTTCATAGCAGTATGAGAAGAGACTAATACATACCTCAAAGGGACAGTGAAAGAATTTAGGTTCAAGATGTCTAAAACAGTGCCCTAAGAAAAAGGATGTCAGGGTCTGCAGTTTAGTCAAGCTGAGGGAAACCTTAAGGCTATCTTGGTCTGCCAACAAATACTTAAGCTTGGAGGAGGAGTCCAAGCTATAGAGAGGAGCAGAGCTGGCCAACTCTTTGAAGCCTTGTCAGACCCTAAGCAGTATGGAGATAACTGCTGGAAGTAAACAAGCAACAGAAAAAAAGAAAAAAAAAGCATCAACTTTCTGGTTTTTGAATATTGCCTTTAAAGTATTATTATTCTAAACTGATACCCTGGGGGTAGAGATTCAAGATTTGAATAAAAAGCAAATGATTATAGCAAGTCATGAACTCATTTACTTCATCTCTACCTTACTTTAAAATCTGCAATTTGTTGAGCTGTTAGGATGGATTAAAAAAAGTCCACTGTTGTCTTAGAATTTACTGATTGATATATTTACATAAATCAAAATATACTAGCAAACTAAGAATAAGATCTATTTACTGAATATTTATATGCAATTCTTCAAATATAAACAATTACCATATATGTGTATAAATCATTCTATTTAAATTAATGTCTTTCTTTGAGAATTACTATGCTGGCTATTCTTTGTGTTCAGCCTGTTTCTGAATATTGTTGATAAGCACCTCAACTACTAAGTAGGAATAACGACACACACAAAATGTACCGTTACTAGCATAAGTGACTCTTCAAAAATATATTTTGAAGTACCTTGAGATCATTTGAATTAATAAAGCAGGCAGATGAATTAAAAGCTTTGTTTATACTACCAACTAAATTTCATACAAAATAAAACATAAAAACCAGATAATATGAGATTATACCTTTTGACATGTTTTTCATATTAAACACAAAATATATATTTTCAGTATGAGCTCTCTTAGCTGTTTTAACAAGCATAGTCTAATGGTTACACCTTAGATAACCATGTTACTGCTTTACCACATTAATATTGTCACTTTCCATGGACACCAAATCCTAAGGAAAAATGAACAGATGCTGGGGAAAAAAATTGTTAGAAAGGGAAAGGCTCTCCTTTCTTGTCTATTTGATATTTGCCTGAAATATGCTGAAAAGTATATGGTATCAGCTGCCAATAATTGAAATTTGCGGAATGCTTCATAGCTAGCAATGATCATCTCAGCAACAATTTCCAATTTTCATCTTTTACCATTCATTTTTATATCCAGAAACAGCAATTATTAAAGAAAAAAGCATTTCTGAGTCGGTGTATTATAAACACTAATGTTATCTAAATTAGTAAATAAGGTATATAGGCTAAATCTTTTAATTTCTTTTTGCATAATGGGACTATATTGAGCAACTGTATTATGAGTCAGATTAGAAAAAAATGCAGCTTGGGAAAAAAAATAAAGCAAGAAACCCCTACGCAGCAATTTTGGAGAGACAATCCATTTTTCTAGAATAAGCAAAGTTTCAGCTGAGACAGCAGTCGCTCACGTTAAACCAGAAAACAGCAAGGTAAATGGCCAGTCTTCCAGCAGTGAGGCTAGAAGTCAGGAATTCTGAGCAAAATACTATAGGGTGAAAAGTTTGGGCCATATTTGTCAGTCCAGAAATTAGTTTCTCAACTGTCAAAATGGTTGGGTTAAAGTAGTTACTTAGTAGAACAAAGCCAAACTTAATATCTTTAAATGATTTTTCATTTTAACTGTAATAAAATAACATTTTTTTTTCTGTGAATCCATTAGGGGAATTTGTAGGGATACAATCTGCCTATTGTATGTAGGTTTCTTTAACTTAGTGAGCAACTCATTACTGAAAAAGTCAGGTAAAGATCAAAGCACACCTCTCTAGTATCCCTCGGTATTAGTTGGTTCCAAGTCTTTGCTATTGTGAATAGTGCCGCAATAAAAATACGTGTGCATGTGTCTTTATAGCAGCATGATTTATAGTCCTTTGGGTATATACCCAGTAATGGAATGGGTAGGTCAAATGGTATTTCTAGTTCTAGATCCCTGAGGAATCGCCACACTGACTTCCACAATGGTTGAACTAGTTTACAGTCCCACCAACAGTGTAAAAGTGTTCCTATTTCTCCACATCCTCTCCAACACCTGTTGTTTCCTGACTCTTTAATGATTGCCATTACTAAACTTTATCATGGGCATGTATATATAGGAAAATACATAGTATGTATGTTGAGTTAGGTACTATCTGTGATTTCAGGCACCCACTGCATGGCCTGGAACATGTCCTCTGTGGATAAAGAGGGACTGTTATACATGCATGTGTATGGTATGCTACTCTGAATAATGTAGAGGGCAGATTATTTACCAAAATTTTGCCTGTTATTTAACTACTCTGCACAATGTTTTCTATATCACCTCTGCTTAATATGGCGAAGAGATACTTGATACTGTCTATACTATGTCTTTAAAAATTCATAAAATTCTGGGCAAAATTACTAGGCCTATCAGGACCTGATGTTGCTAGAGTCTGTAGAGCCCCTGAGAGTGTATTTTTAGAAGTGGGCTGAGCTGCATACTCCTCTGTTACACCAAAATTAGAAAGATTTCTAAAACCATACAGAATCTTTTGTGTTAAAGGTTAATTCCCTGTCACCTCACAATGCTAAGAGATAGAATCTGAGGCTTTTGTGCATAGCATAGCTGAGCACCAAGGCACTAGTCATGGGAAACAGGCAGGCTGAGGGTTGTGGAACCGTCTTATGAATGACAGTCTCCTTCCTCTTCTCTTCTCTCCCAGGAAGGCCAGATCTGAAAAACAACAGGTGAAATTATTTTTTTTCATCCCCTCATGCTATGGAGGTGGAGTTGGACACTTTATGAAAGGACGTATCCCAAAGTTATACTTAGTATAGAAACTTGGTCTTTAAATAAGCCATAGTCTAATATAAAGGCTTTTAACAAATCAGTGTTTTAGTTTATGACACTTACTTCCCAGAATACAGTTGCCTTTCAGTGGTGCCAGGCTATTAAAAGTCATATCTGCTAATCCAGAAATAACTCTTGTAATCTTTCTTCTAGGTGGTCAAATTCAAATCCCCTCCTGAGATGAAGGAGTTAAATCACAAAATACTACTACCACAACGGTGGTTCCATGTGGGGGTGGGGGGTTAAAAATAGATATGTTTATGCTGTTAATCCAGAATACTAAATTTGCTTATTCCAACTCTTTTAACAAATAAGGGGAAATACTTATGAGGGTTTACAATTGACCTCCCTCCTCTCAAACATACACATAAAATTAAAGCCCAAAAATAGAAGGGACATCTTTCTAAGACTAACAAATAACATTATCAAGATATCTCCAAAGTAATTTGCTGTTCTAAAATACTTTGAATTATCTCCCTATATGTCTTTTAAAAGAGAAATAAAAAAGATAATTCTACCTAGAAGATTAAGATATGCACCTGGATTATGAACTGCAAATTATTCTTAATCTTTCTTATTAAAACAGAGGAAAATACACACACACACACACACACACACACACACTTATGTGTTTTATAGTGGGTTATTACTATGGTGTTAAATGTACACGTAGGCTATTGACTATTTTTATGTTATATGTATTTCCATAGGGTTTAAAAAGGTACTTTTAAAAAAATTATACTTTAAGTTGGGGTACATGTGCAGAACATGCCTGTTTGTTACATAGGTATACAAGTGCCATGGCAGTTTGATGCACCCATCAACCCATCATCTACATTAGGTATTTCTCCTAATGCTATCCCTCCCCTAACTCCCCACCCTCTGATAGGCCCCAGTGTGTGATGTTCCCCTCCCTGTGTCTATGTGTTCTCATTGTTCAACTCCCACTTATAAGTGAGAACATGCGGTGTTTGGATTTCTGTTCCTGTGTTAGTTTGCTGAGAATGATGATTTCCAGCTTCATTCATGTCCCTGCAAAGGATATGATTTCATCCTTTTTGATGGCTGCATTGTATTCCATGTGTGTATGTGCCACATTGTCTTTATCCAGTCTATCACTAATGGGCATTTGGGTTGGTTCCAAGTCTTTGCTACTGTGAACAGTGCTGCAATAAACATACCTGTGCATGTGTCTTTATAGTAGAATGATTATAATCCTTTGCATATATACCCAGTAACGGGATTGCTGGGTCAAATGGTATTTCTGGTTCTAGATCCTTGAGGAATCGCCACACTGTCTTCTACAATGGTTGAACTAATTTACACTCCCACCAACAGTGTAAACGCATTCCTATTTCTCCACATCCTCTCCAGCATCTGTTGTTTCCTGACCTTTTAATGATCACCATTCTTACTGGCATGAGATGGTATCTTATTGTAGTTTTGATTTGCATTTCTCTAATGACCAGTGATGATGAGCTTTTTTTCATATGTCAGTTGGCTGCATGAATGTCTTCTTTTGAGAAGTGTCTTTTCATATCCTTTGCCCACTTTTTGATGGGGTTGTTTTTTTCTTGTAAATTTGTTTAAGTTCTTTGTAGATTCTGGATATTAGTGGATATTAGCCCTTTGTCAGATGGATAGATTGCAAACATTTTCTCCCATTCTGTAGGTTGCCTGTTCACTTTGATGATAGTTTCTTTTGCTGTGCAGAAGCTCTTTAGTTTAATTAGATCCGATTTGTCAATTTTGGCTTTTGTTGCCATTGCTTTTGGTGTTTTAGGCATGAAGTCTTTCCCCATGCCTAGGTCCTGAATGGTATTGCCTAGGTTTTTTTCTAGGGTTTTTATGGTTTTATGTCTTATGTTTAAGTTTTTAATCCATCTTAAGTTAATTTTTGTATAAGGTGTAAGGAAGGGGTCCAGTTTCGGTTTTATGCATATGGCTAGTCAATTTTCCCAACATCATTTATTAAATAGGGAATCCTTTCCCCATTGATTGTTTTTGTTGGGTTTGTCAAAGATCAGATGGTTGTTGATGTGTGGCATTAGATTTAAAATTTTATTTAAAATTAAACAAAACATATTCAATAAAATTAAAACAAATATAACATCCATAAAATTTTGCATCACAATTTGATATTTTTAAAAACAGAGTATTTATAGAATACATTAAATTGTTTATCCAAGGACTCACAAACGATTTTCTTCTCTGTAGTATTAATCAATTTCTGACAGAAAATGTATTTTTGTCACGGTCTTCAGAATGAAAATCTTCTTTTAAATTATCTTGTATAAAACAGCCTTAATCCATGGCATGAGATCTCAAAATGTATTTTGTTTAAAAAGACTTGGGTGTATTATGCCCATCATTTGCTCAAGTCTATACATCGGCATAGAACACTAGGAGTCTTATCCTTAAAAATTTAAAAGGAGTCCTATCCTCAACTAGTAGTCTCATCCTTAAAACGTTTTTTTAAAAAGATGAATAAAGTAAAACAGAAGTAAAATGTTAAATTTTACTCCTATTGCTTGGACAAAGAATGACAGAAAGGAAGGTAAGTCGCTGTCATGTTTTGAGCCCTAAATTATGTTGGCTTGTTTAGGAGATCTGTTGCAAATGCCATCAAATTTGTCACAGTATGTTCAGGTATACATTTTAGAAATAAAACTGAGAATTAGAATGTTTGATTAACTTTCTCAGGTCACACCCCTAATGCTTGATGTCAGTGAATCAGTGAATGCAATCCAGTTTGGTCTCACTGAGAACCCATGCACAGTCCCTCTGCTAAGGTTATAAATTGTGGAGAAAAAAGGTATAGAAAATTGAATAAAATATTAATGCAAGAATTTGTCAAATGCTTACAGAATTAGGGAAAAACAATTCAGGAGAATTGAACGACATATTTATTTCTAAAATTTACTTTTCCAGTGATAACTTCTATTGTTTTCTTCCATTTATCCAAGGCTCTTGGTACAGAAGGTTTTTGGTTTAATCTCCCTCCCTAGTAGTTTAGCCACAGGGCTGGAGGTGTTAATGAGCAGTGAAATGGCCCAAAGGCAGACATCGGGGGCAGATGGAAAAGAGGCAAGGATAAAATGTAAGTCCATTATACATTCAAAATACAATAGTTTTCAAAATTATCTGTATCAAGAGAGAGAGAGAAAAAAATGACGTTATGATTTAATAGTCTTAAGTTTCATCAACTAAGTCAAGTTTTGTCAACTGAGGAGTTTATTCACTCAAACAAGAATAAAGATGTATTCTGTTTTTTCAGGGCATTTAGAGTCAGAAGCAATCACTGCAAGGTAGACAATGTCTGCAGTCTCTTCCTCCCTTCCTCTCTTCTTTCCTTCTTTCTTCACTGACTTCCATTTTTCTTTCTCTGTCTTTTTCTCTCTCTCCCTCCCTCCCTTCTTCCTTTCCCTCCTCCCTCCTTCCTTTCCCTCCCTCCCTCCCTCTTTCTCTTTCCCTCCCTCCCTCCCTCCTTCCTTCCTTTCCTTCTTTCTTTTTCTCTCTCTCCCTCCCTCCCTTCTTCCTTTCCCTCCCTCCCTCCCTCCCTCTTTCTCTTTCCCTCCCTCCCTCCTTCCTTCCTTTCCTTCTTCTTTCTTTTCTGTCTTTCTTTTCTTTGCCTTTGATTGAGAAACACTATCTTCTGTTTACAGATGTCTTAAACCATATCCTACATTCCACAATCCGAAGTGTTCTTGCTTCCTTCGTATCATGAACTTGGCACTTCCACCCTTCGTAAATACTGCTCTCTCCAGCCTTGCCTAGCTAAATAGTAACAAGTAGTTTTAAGCAATGTGAATCTACGTCCTTGCTGTAATTGTACATATGAGTGTAATACACATGCACACACAGTTTTATTGCCATCTCAACTTCTCTTTGCAAAGATCAATATAGAAAAAACAGCTGTTCCACTGTGTGTATTTTTAAAACCTGTTCTTGGCTTGTAACTTAAGCTAGTATAGTCAGTGCCTTGGGCCATTCGCGATGCTTTTCTCTCACAGTGTGCCCCAATCTATCCTTATGCTAGATTTATTAGTGTTCCTAGAGCGTATGCTAACCTACTAAATAACAATATGCTGCAATATGAATGTTATTTAATTGGAAAGAAAATATATAGTTGTCAAAGCAAAGATCTTTCATTTTTTCATTGAAAAATATTAGGTTAGACCAATTTACTTGATAATTTAAATGATCAATTTTGTTCTGTTAACATTAGTTTTTTAATATTCTTTTTCTACAAAGAGCACCACCAAAGTTGCAGTAACAAATCTATTATATTGTAATGACAAGTGATAGGAGACATTGCAGTTGATCATCATGTGAGAAGGTCTGTCATGTGAGAAATTACACTGATGCAACCACAGCCTGTACATATACTCCAATCAAGCTACTCCAGAGTTCACAAAATAGAAAGGCTCACAGTGCAATTAGGATGCATAAGTCACACAATTTATTGAATGAACTTAAAAGGTAAAGCAAAAATGCAGAGGGGCAGAGAAAAAATAAGTAGAACAGGGTGCACATGTGGCAGAAATGCCTTGCCACCTGGATCTTTGGTTAGCCACCATGTTCATATGTGCCTCCTCTGACACATCAGCTGTCTCTGCTAATGGTGAATTGAGGTGAAAATAAAGGGTTTATCAGATGGAAGATGGCTGGAGCCAATATATACTATCTATATGAGTGACATACAGGTGTAAAAAAGTAACTGCTGACCAACTATGTGTACCATGAGGTAGAGAGTACTTGGAGCTAGAACGGATATGGCCAGAATACGGATCACAAATGGATAAATATTTTCTTATGTGACTTGTGTTTTTGGTGTGTCATTATCATCCGGTGCTCCATGCATGCTATGTAAGTGTATTATGAACATTTGTCACTTCTATGTCCTTTCATCCCTTTCTATTAATGTTCAGTACAAATATATTCTAATCAAATTATGTGTGTCTAGCACGTCCCAAGCTTCCTACTTCTATAACTTAGTTTTATCTATTCTAGCATGTTTGCTTTTCTTATTTTTATAGTAGAAGAGAATATTCTTCAATAATATTAAAAATATACAATATAAAGTTTATTTAAATTTTAAAGATTAGTGTGAAGAGAAAAAAGAAAAGAAAAAGAGAGGGAGGAGGGAAGAAAGGAAGAAAGGGAAGGAGAGAGGGAGGGAAGGAAAGAAGGAATGGGAGAAGAAGGAAGGGAGGGAGGAAGGAAGGAAGGGAAAGAAAGCAAGCAAGCCAGGTTTGAGTAGAAAGTGTTGGGAATGGGTAGAGTTTCCAAGTGTTACTTTTGAGATGCTATCGAGTTGCAAATGGAGATGTCCAGTAGACCATTGAGTTAGACTTCAGAATTCAGGGGAGGAGATAGTGTTGATGACAGTAATGGGGGTGTAATGAGCATACAATGGTATTTAAAGTCTTGTGGCTGAATGGCATCACCTGCAGAGTAAATGTAAGTAGAGAAGAGAAGAGGGCATGACTGAGCCTAAGGCACTACATACTTCAAATTGGAGAGTAACAAGGATCAGCAGAAAAAATTGAGAAATAGATCCAGTGAGGGAGAAGAAAAGCCAGATTAGTGTGGAACCCCAGAAATCAAATAGAGATAGTGTTTAAAAAAGTAGGAAGTAAGCAACTCTATTTAATGCAGCTGAAACAATGAGTAAGGTTAGGCATTAGATTGGAACAAGGATTTTGCATTGCAGAATGCACTGATATGTTTGACAGGAGCAGCATAAATGGGTTAATGGTGGTGAAATCCCTAGTGGAACACGATCAAGAGAGAGAATGGGATGAAAGAAAACAAAGACAGCTAAATAGATAATAAAATTTCTGAGCATTCTCTTTCTCATTTGGATTCTGAGCAAATTGATAAGTAAAACAAGGATAGCTGACAGATAACCAAAGTAGTTTCTTTAGTGATTCTAAAACTTTTGATGTACGAGTTAAGAAGAAATTATTTAGGCAGATAGTGAGGGTACCTACCGGAGTCCTCAATAAGGTTTTCCTTTTAATGAAAACCAGCCCCCAAATCATTTTCTTTTCTAACAAAGAGCAGCCTGCAAAATCGAGCTGCAGCTGAATGTCAGCAGTTGTGCCAATAGGAAAAGGCTACCTCGGACTAGGCATGTTCAAAATGGCGGCTCCATTTTCCCTTCTCTTTGCCAGCCACGTGTATAGTAAGGAGCAGACAAGATGGCACCGGCCAAATTTAAAGCTCATTTGCATAATAAAATTAGGGTGAGGTGGCCAGCCTTACCTGTGCGCTATGTAGACATCACGCCTGGTCCAATCTGTGGGTCCTATGTAAATAAGACACTGCCTCCTCAAGCCTGCCTATAAAATCCAGTGCAATCTCTTCGCGGCCTCATTTTCCTTTCAGAAGTCCTTCTCTCTCACAAGGGAGACAGCTCTTCTTTTTTTTTTTTTTTTTTGCCTGTTAAAACCTCCACTCCTAAACCCACTCCTCCTGTGTGTCTGTGTCCTTAATCTTCTTGGCACGAGATGATGAAGCCTGGGTATTTAGCCGAGACAGCGATGCTGCTTCACTATAGTGATTATGTGGCTTTATATGTGTTGGTCAGATAAATTTTCTAAGTGAATCTCATAATCATACACAGACTTAGATACCCACTCCTATGTTGTTCTAAATGGTCTCCTGAAAGACTAGTGGAATGGAAGAATCCAGCAAACCACCCACCTCTCAAGTAAAGGAAAAGGGTAATGTATGTCCCAAATTAGATAAATCAGAACATTTTTCCACAGGTGGAATAAAAGAGACAGAGAGAATCTAGAAACTACACTAGTGTTACCAGGGGGTCCTTGATCTCAGAGCTCCCAAGATGGTGATGGGCCGCTTCCAAGATGGTGGCAAGGCTCGTGTTCTCTGATCTGGGGTTCTTGGCCCACGGATTCCAAGAAATGGAATCCTGGGCCATGCAGGGACTATTATAGCTCTATTAGAAGCCATGGGTCACGGAAGAGAACCGTGGAACCCAGTGACTAGTGTTCAGCTCGATTAGGATGAACCCGGGCACTTAGCCGTGCAGGAACAATGGCAAGCCTCTAGCCCAATTAGGAGTGGCAATGGTTGTCTCGCTGGATCAGGAGCACAGGGGACACCCTGCCAGATCCGGAGGGATGGAAGTCAGTAGTGGGTCTGCGACTGTGGCAAACAGCAGTGGTGGATGGCGAGCTAAAGCTCAGCTCGAGCCGTAACAAACACGGACCAGAAGAGAGTGCAGTTGCGATTTAATAGAGTGAAAACAGAGCTCCCATACAAAGGGAGGGCACCCAAAGAGGGTAGCCGTTGCCGGCTCAAATGCCTGGGTTTATATCCTGATCATTGTCCCTTCTGCTGTGCTCTCAGGCAACAGATGATTGGTTATTTCTTTACCTCCTGTTTTTGCCTAATTAGCATTTTAGTGAGCTCTCTTCACTACCTGATTGGTCGGGTGTGAGCTAAGTTGCAAGCTCCGTGTTTAAAGGTGTGTGTGGTCACCTTCCCAGCTAGGCTTAGGGATTCTTAGTTGGCCTAGGAAATCCAGCTAGTCCTGTCTCTCACTAGCAAAGCTCCTTTCAGAGGAAGGAAACATCAGGAATAAGAAGCAATCAGTTTCCATTAACAATATCCAACACTTTGGGGAGATTTTTTTATAAAAATGAGCAAAAGTGGCTTGGTGGCTGGAAGTAGAGATGAGCTGAAGGTAATATTTTTAAGATATGAAATATGATAGCCAGTTTGTATGATGTTTTATTTTTCATCTTAGTGCTTACAACTTCATATTTTGTAATAGATATATTAGTTTGTTAATTAGCTGTCTCCCCCATAAGAATTTTAGTTCCATGAGGGTAAGGATTTTGTTCTATCTTTTGTGTAAGCACAAAACCTATATCTGGCATATATTCAATAAATATTTATTGAATGTTTTAATGATTTAATGAGTTTACTATTATACATCAATAATTTATTTTGCAAGCATAGCACAGTGTAACCTGCACCTGATATAAGCTCAGGAGACATGGACTTTATTTACAGCTCTAACATTTATGTTGTCTTGGGCAAATATTCTAACCTGTCTGAGTTTTAGTCTTTTTGATTTTCAGAAAAAGAAGAGTAGAAATCATTTTTCAACCTCAGACGTGTATTTTCAAAAGCAATTTATATAATAAATGTGAAAACTCTTTGCAAAGATAGTGCAATATTGTTCTGTCCCTCTGTATATATGCCTAAAACTTTTAATGTACCTTTAAATTCAAAGGTGTTATGTTGATGTTACTCATTTTTAATCAGTCTGGCTGTAAAGTTAATCATTATTTGTTAATAACTAGTTGGGGTATAGTGGAATTAAATTAGAAAACCTATTTATCAACAAAAAGACATAGACTTAGTCATGCCTTACATATTTTTCAAATTACCCAGTTTTAGAATTAGTCATTCTTAATAATTTTTTTTTTGCGATTTCAAGATGTTATAAAGTAGAAGAGTTCGTACCTTCCCATCTCAAAATTTGAATAATAACTGTTGAATGAAAAAAAATCTGATGGTGATGTCTGAGGAGAGAAAAAGGATTCATCATCAAGGAATAGTGTGGTATTCTATGAAAAGCATGTCAAGACGGGGGTAATTAGAACTTCTAACTACTCAGGTTTTTGCCATTGGATTATACTTTTATTGTTATTACTGTTAGTAATCCACACTGAATACAGTGTAATTATAACACTATTGCTTTATAAAGTGAGAGTTAAACAGCCTAGACTCCTTACCTTACCTCTTACTAACTTTCTGCATTTCAATCTTGTCAAAAGACACCAGAAAGCAAACTTATCAAGCATTCTGTAACTTCCTATTTTTACCACTATCACTTTGTCATCACCTCTGACTACAAATTGGTTTGTATCAGAGAAGGTTTAGATAATGAGTCTAGATTACAATAAACAGTCTGGTTCTTTGAATTATAACTGTTGATAAGGCAATCATAATCATTATTTTCTTACAAAAAGAAAACTATAAGATAGACATACAGAGGGCAAAGCAAATAAAACCATTTTCTTTATATTGCACATGCGTGTAGTAAATAAAAAATAATATGAAAAAATTCGTAGTGAAACAACACATTTATAAAATGTGAGAGGTTAACATGTTTTCTTGCTAAAATAGCTCAACAGCATATCTCTTAGAAGGAAATGTGTAGTGTCACCTCAAGAGATATTTTGGTCAAAGTAGCTAATGAATCATGAATACAGGCAAAGAGAAAAATAAACTATGAGCTGATCTCCACCACTGTATTTTCTCAGAGGCTTTTCAAACATTCTTTATAACAGCACACAATGAAACACTTCTCAAGAAGCATGAGACAATTTTCTGAGATATATAAAGATCCTTCCCTTAAAAAAGTGATGAAGTAGGGGGATTTGGCTTTTGGCTTTTGCCCTTTTACTATAGATTTTTTATGTCCTCCAGTCACTCCTTTTTAGTGTTCATCTTGAGGAAACATGAACCCAGGGCTTGTTGCCTCCAGTGATTGTGGTTTGTCATCTGATCTCTCATTGATGAGAGATGTGTCTGAGTGTGGTGACCAGTATCACACCCCAGCACTAAAAGGAAGCAAACTGTATGATTGACTAAGTATCTTAATCTTCATGTGCCTTTCTGAATCTGTAAAAATTGGTTAATAAGAGAATTCTCAATTTATAAATACTTAATGGCATTAAATAAAATCATATTTACTAAGCATTTAGAGCAGTACCCACAAAATTTTGCTCTATGCAACACTATACATAAAAAATATTATTATGCTCATGGTGAGTCAGAAAGCTTTCAAGGCCCCTTTTAAAATTCAGATCTTACCTTTTAGATAATTGGCCTGGAATTATATTGCATCTGCTCCTTTAGATAGTATAATAAAGAGAAGCATATATCGATGGCAAGGATAAAAGTTTCTAAAATTAGCAAAATGAGTAAGAGAATAAAGTGTTGAATACTATAGTCTTTCATAAAAGTCAAAACTAGTGAGCATTATCATCCAATAAATCTTGCCTATACTGAGTTTGATCATAGCTTATGATAGTGAAGATTGTCTTTGAGATAAATTGCTTTTTGTTTTTGTCTATCAGGAAAAGCAAACAACTTAATTTTAGTTGTTATAGATGAGAGTCCTTGTAGTCAGGTCATAAATTCACTTTGTGAAAGAGATGAAAAGTCAAAGAATCCAGAGACACTGAAAGACATGACCACGTTTTATTTGTAAGGGGCACAGATGCTCCATGGGGAGAAAAATAATCTACTGATAGGGTTCTCAATTCCACACTCCAGAGTGGACACATAAGTGTGTTTCTTCAAAATGGGCAATAGAAAGCATCATTTATGGTATTCTGATTATATATTTTCTACTGTTTACCTACTCCACCTGGCCCAGCCCTAAATCTTCATTGTGTTCTCCAAATATATAAATCAAGGATTTGTGAGTGAGGTAGAGTAGAAAATGATGGCATCTATTGCCTTATAATATGGTTTAGATCTGTGTCCCTGTCCAGATCTCACCTGGCCCAGCTTAAATCCTCACTGTGTTCCCAAAATATATAAATCAAGGATTTGTGAGTGAGGTGGAGTAGAAAATGACTGACTCTATTGCCATATAATATGGTTTGGATTTGTGTCCCTGTCCAAATCTCATGTCAAATTGTAATCCCCACTTTTGGGGACTGGTGGGCGGTAACTGATCATGGAGGTGTTTCTCATGTATGGTTTAGCACCATTCCCTTGGTGCTGTTCTTGTGATAGTGAGTTCTCATGAGATCTGGTTGTTTAAAAGTGTGTAACACCTTCCGCCTTGCTCTCTTTCTGCTCCTGCTCCCACCATGTGAGACCCCCTGACTTCCCCTTTGCCTTCTGCAATGATTGGAAGCTTCCTGAGGCCTCCCCAGCAGCAGAAGCCACAATGCTTCTTGAACAACCTGCAGAACTGTGAGTCAATTAAACCTCTTTTCTTTATAAATTACCCAGTCTCAGGTATTTCTTTATAGCAATGAAGAACAGACTAATACATATACTACACTCATAACATAGGTTCAGAGATTATTAGACTTTCTCAAGTATCTCATGTGACTTAAGAGGCCCACCATGTGGGCTTAGCTTGTCCAGAGATTACTGTATAGGTGTGCAATAATGGCTCTGATGATGGTAGCACATCATTGCTGCTTGAGAGCTCAAGAGCGATAATATCTACAGTCATCTGGTTAAATAATGGCATTAATAGATCACATTCTTAGGGGTATCACGTGGCAATTTAGATAAGAGTTTGAACATTCATAGGCATTCTACATCTCTACTAGTGCTCAACAAACACTGCTGGTTGTTAGCAATGACCAACAACATTGTTCACAATATTATGCATCAGAATATTAGACAGAAGTTTAACTAAGATGTTTGGAAAAACTTAAGATCCTAAACCAAGTAGATAAAAGGTAACATCACTTATACTCAAAAACTTATTACATTTTGTTTTGGAGAGTGTGAAAGACAAAATTCACAAATGGCCCTAAGATCACCACCAAATCTGGTTCCCTTAAACAAGGGTTGGCCCTAAGATCACCACCAAATCTGGTTCCCTTAAACAAGGGTATCACTGTAAAAATGATACAATTCATTCCAGTGATTAGGTTATGTTACATTATAAAGATGCAGTTTTGCAGATATAGTTAATATCCCAAATCAGCTGACTTTGAGTTCATCGAAAGGATGATTATCCTGGACCTCTCTTAATTAGGTGAACCCTTAAAAGGGACTCAGATCTTCCTGAAGGTAGCCTAATCAAGTGGCTTGAACAAAGGATAAAAAAATGCTGATATGTCTCAAAACATATCCAAGATAAAACTAGTTCTCAGCACCTCCACAGCCACAACCAGTTCAACTTATCATCATCTCTGGCCTAAATTACCACAACAGTTTTCCAACTGGACATCTAGAACTTCTCTTTCTTGTAGTGTATTTTAATGAAGTAGTTAACTTGATCTTATTAAAATAGAAGGTATATTATATTAATCCTGCACTCAAAATCCTCCAATGACTTCTAATCTCTCTCAAATAAAGCTAAAGATTATAACACCCTGAATGTCTAACTTCATCTCCTACTTGGTAGTCTCCCACTCACTCACTGGAATACTCCTTTGCACACCTCTAGTTCCCTTTTCTATTTTATTTTCAACCAGATAACTTTTCAGCATTTAAAATACCAAAAATTTATTATCATTATTATTTGTGATTTCTGTCTGTCTCCTTATCTTGCTGCACCCATGACCCACTGAAAAGCAAACACCATGTGACCAATGAAGTTAGTCTGTTTTGTTCACTAATAAATCTTAAAGTGCCAAGAACAGTCTGGGTGACAGAGTTAGCACTTACTCAATATTTGTTGAGAAAAGGAATTAAAATATTCATTTCCCAGGAAATATTCCAATAAAAAGGAGATGAGACAGTACTTTTTGAAATGAGTATATTCTGCTTAGAGAAGACATTCTTACATGGATATTTTTCATATACAAATTGTCTATCTTTTCCTCTAAATGTTTAGAATGGCATGTTTGAGTCCCCAGTATAACAGTGAAGAGATGTCTCAGGAAGATTAAAAATAGATGAATAGTTCCCCTGCAGTTATTTTGATGTAACTTTGTTCTCTACTCCTATACTCACAGGAGGCACTCATAAGCTAATTTCAGAATATGATTCTGACCTGGATTTGAGGCAGTAGCTGACCCTATCATTCCCACTAATTTGCTAATCATTTGAGGAAGGAATGTATCTCATGATCATAGTGAACAATAACAAGTATCTAGGGGCTATCTTGAGTGATCATTTTCCTCATTTCTGCATTATATCTAGAAATGAACTAAAGAGAGAAACCGATATAATTACAACAATTAAGGACTATATATGCAATGTGTCAATTTACATTCAGGCTGCCACCTTCGTATTTTTCATGTTATGCCAGTGGCAGACCATAAACAATTGTTCGGCAATACCAAAGAAAGAGCAGAGCTGGACAAAGGTTGAGAATAGGCCAAGGCAAGCAAAATGCTGCAATGTGCAGAGTCCCTATTGTAGCAAATATATCTTATTTTTTTAATATAATAGTTTAAGGAAGAAACATGAGCAAGATGTTAGAATAGGAGGTCCTAGTTTTTGGCCTCCTCAGAAACACCAATTTAACAATCATTCATGGATAAAAATACCATAGTGAGGATTTCAGAATCCAGTTGAGATGTTTTCAGGATACCAGTAGAGCACAACATATGAGAATAGTCACATTGAAAAGGAAAGAAAGAACTCTTTCACTTTACCCAGGTCTCCTCTTCCTCAGGCAAGCACTAATCAGTGCTGAGATAGGCCTTCTTGGCCTGAGATTTTGCCTACAGGATAAACAAAGAGTTAAGTGATCATCCAACTTTGCCAGCCTTTTGGGACATTGGCTGAGAGGTTCATTTCTGCTTACCTTACCAAGAACACTGAGGAAACTGGCATAGCTAGATCACCTGGGTGCAATGAATTTGTGGGAGCTAACAACACCTGGTGCCTGGCTTTCAACAACCTGTCTGCTAACCCTGTCAACCAGCCAGGCTGACCAAGAACCATCAGCCAAGCAGCCAAACTGTGGACCTCAACAGCTGGCCCATGCAAACTTCTACTGCCAGCACCCACAGCTGGAACCCTATGCAGCCCCATAGTCAGTGCCCCATGCTCACCAGCAATGAATGCTTTCTGGGCACCCACCTGTGAGTGCACGCCCCCACAGACAGTACGCATGTGCCCACACAGACAGCATATATATCTCAGCAGCCAATGTAGACATCAGCAGCTGGCTCGACTGCAGGATTGGGAGAAGGTGCACAACTCTGAGACTGCACCTTCAAGAGGGAGAAGGAAAAGTGGAGATTGCAGCAATCATTGCTATACCTCAGTGCACTGTCCTAGGCAAAAGGGGAGAGCAATTCTCAGCACAAGATACAGATCTGTGGGACAGGTAGAAGGCACACAATCCCAAGATGTCTCCTTTAGGAGGGAGAAAGAAAAGAGGAGCTTGCACCTAACACCATTTCAGCAAAATGCACTAGAGAAAATCTCATTCACCTGGAGATGGGAAGTTTGGCTTTACCTAACAGGAAGGTTTCTTCAAGACACTCCTAGGAGGGAATTCTGCACCTATTTTCAATTGGCCTATGTTAGAGTTATGACACTGTCTTAGTGTCTTGTCCATTCATGCTGCTATAAAAAAATACCTTAGATTGGGTAATTTATAAATAATAGAAAGTTATTTCTCACATTTTTGGAGGCCGAAAAGTCCAAGATTAAGGTGCCAGCAGATTTGGTGTCTGGTGAGGTCTTGCTTTCTGTTTCATAGATGGTGCCTCTTACTGCATCCTCCTTTTGCAGAAGGACAAAAAGGACAAAAGGGTAGAACTCATTCCCTCCAGCTCTTTTGTAAGGGCACTAATCCAATCTATGAGGGTGGAGCCTTCAAAGCCTAGTCACCTCCCAAAGACCTCACCTCTTAATACCACCATCTTGAAGTTTAGGTTCCAACCTATGAATTTTGGGAGGACGCATTCATTCAAACTGTAGCAGAGACGTGGATTTTAGAGTTTGAATCAGAGTTTTACTGAGTAAAGTCCTTAATCACATATTCAGTGAAAACAATGCAGCTGTTTAAAACTGATGATAAGACGGGAAGTCCTGTGCGTAAATCACATTTGGTGTTGATTTTGTATGATTTCCTACACATATATATACAACACACGATATGTATTCTGGTTTAAATGAAACATTTTACAAGTATGCCTAATGGAATCTAACAAATCTAGGAACTGAATGCAAGAATGTATTCTAAATAGTTTCTTACACCTAGAGAATATTCTATAGAAATTGAAACTATTTTGCATGATTTTAAAAAGTACATTATGATGAAAATGGAAAATTAATTACAAAATTTTCTATCTTTTTCTCACTTTAGGACATGCCACTTATAAACTCCTAATTACCCGAACTAGAAAAGATGAACATTCGTTTTAAAATTTGCAGCATCTTCTTTCCATACTCTCTAAATGTTTTTGGAATTACACCTTTACAGGAACTGTTTCACAAATTTCAAAGCAGTATAATTATTCCTGTGGTAGAAGGGATACTACGCTGAAATGCAACATTCTGCTTATAGTCCTCTTATGAAACGTAAATAAAATTAACACGAAACAACAATGTTACCATTTAGTATACCTTTTTTTTGCCGTTGTTAATTGAGACATAGAGTAAACTAAAATTCTTTCAAAGTAGCAGTAACTAAAAACATACACATAATCACACTTCCTCATTTCAGAATGTTAGACTGCTGGAATTTAAAAGCAACCTTTTTTACACTTTTGATTGAGTAATCTGAGTGTTCATTGAGTACTTATAAAAGATTAATGACAAGCCAGCATGTGAACACCTGAACTAACCTTTCACTAATTAGTTTTCCTGATCTCCATGACATCCCCAAAGAGAATAAAAGCAAAGAAATATAATGGCAAATACCTTCTTTTTCAATGGGTAAAACTTGAACTACATATTTTACTTTGAACTATCTTAGAGCCTTGTAAAATTCATCATCATAAAGAACAATTTGCAATTATACAATGTAGTCATAAGTCATGCTTACTAGGTCTAAAATAGGCAAAGTCCTATGTTTATTTCAAAAACTATACTAAAAATTCTATGTTATAGTAACTTTCAATTACAAAGTAAACTAAAGTATGACCTGAAACCTATATCAGGTAGGAAGAATTTGAGTGTGATTTATAAAAGTGTGATGTATTTACCCAGAGATATCTATGACTTATTTATGACCATTATGGACAAATGTAAAAGTATTGCTTTTTAAAGTTTATGTTTTTAGACCACTAATAATTTTTGCGCTTTTCCCATATAGTTGATTCAAGTTTTCATACCATTTTGTAGTCATTATATATGCCTCTACATGCTTGTAGGTATGTATGTTCTATATTACACACACAAATATATATATGAGAAATATGTAAATAATACATGAATTCTATCCAAAAGCACAAAACTCAAGTAAAAACCAAGTAAGACCAAGTGAGATAATTTTTAGCCTTTTAAGAGTGATTTCTTGCTTCATTTTCTAACTTTCTATTAGCTCCTTGTTGTGAATCCAAAATTATAAACACATCTATCCTAGTCTAAGAGAACTACCTAAACGATATCCTATTTTTTTAAAAAAGTTTTATACAGCTGCTACTTTCATGTCTTCACTCAATCTTATGTATCTGTTTTACGTATCAATCAACCT
Organism: Homo sapiens; assembly: GCF_000001405.40. Lineage (NCBI taxonomy): Eukaryota > Metazoa > Chordata > Mammalia > Primates > Hominidae > Homo > Homo sapiens. Next base: position 102,930,872 of record NC_000006.12, read on the forward strand.
ATCTTTCACTCATTCTTAATCTTATGTATCATGGCTTTATCATGATCGATTACTCTCTTCTAAATAAAATCTTAGCCCTTAAGGTCAGAGGGTTTGGTCACCCATAACTGGAATATCTCCAAGTTCAGTAACTTGTATCCAATACAAAAAACTTTTGCTGTGAATTTATCCTGAGCCACACAGATATTCAAAATTGAATATATTATTCTTCTCCTAACTACATTTTTATACTCCACATTGAACTGTTGTAAATTCTGTATTTTTCAATCTCTTCTATTGGACTACAGTTTTCACCAGATACTTGATAGTAAATATCCAGTTTCTGAAAAATACTATGAACTCAAGATTCTCCTAAAATCTTGACAATTACTATAGTTAATGTAGTTACTCAGTTTTTCCTAAATGCTCCTGTATGCTGTAGGCATCCTTTCCTTTAATACTCCAATAAAATTACTAGTTTCCACATTCCAGAACCTTTCTCCACTTACTGTTTCTTGTTAAATGCAGCATTGGGCTATTGGTGGAATGATGAGTGTTTACAAACATTGGCCTGGTCAATCAACACTTCACATTTCTGATATATCCTTGTTATTTCCTAATATATGCTTAATTCAATACCTGCCTTTGTGCCTTCACTTACCTAGTTGAAAAGAATGTAATTTTTTTGGAAGGCAACATAATTTTACTGAATGTTTGTAGATAATGAAGGATGACTAAAGCTCAGAACCAGTATAGAACTTAAAAGTCAGTATTAGACATCAGGGAATATACGTTCCTAAACTCTTTACTCCCCAGACAAATTTTCACTGGTAACATCCAAATTACAAGATTTTCTACCCCTATGAATATCCTCTTTTAACTTGTGGAAAAAAGCCAAAATTTCTGTTTGATAGATTTTTTTTTCTTTGATCCCTCATCGTAGTTTCAAAAGTGCAATTAATTGATCTTCTAGAACAATTTTATCCTTAAGTGTAACCCAGCTGGCCATGTAGCAGAAACTCTAACCAGTATTCAAGCTAAGGCATGATGTTTTATTCCTTACATTTGACCCTCCTTGTTAATCTGAAGTCAAGCCATTAAAAGTTCAAGACTTTATAACCCTAGCATCAAATCAGTTTGACCAGGACTCTGTCTAAGTCATGCATTGTGTTTTGGAAGATTAAACTATATATAACACAAATACTTCTTATTCATTTCCACATGAGGGCCTTCATTACTTAAGACAGTCTTTAACCAACTAATCCTAATTCAAAAGAGTGAAAATGCAATCTCTATTTCTCTGTTTTCCGTTCATTCATTGAAAGGAATATTAACTGATAATTCTGAGAGGCAGAATTTGGACTAGCTTGAGAATTAAAAACTCTGGGGCAAGGGCCCAATCTTGGAATCCCCACACTTACCTGCATTTTACCTCCAGGTTTCCCATCAGTTTCTCACTTTGAAGAGCAGAAGAGAATTCCCTCATGCTTCTGAATTGAGGTAGAGAACAAAGGGCCAACTCTAAAAGTAAACGACTAGAACTGTATCTGATCAGGGGAAAGATAATGGCTCAACTCCAGCTACTCTATCTTCCTCTTTCACTTACAGGGAGAAAAAAATGAAACACATTTCTAAAAGTCACATCCCAGGTATGCTTTTTCACCATGACATACAACAACAAAAATGGAAACTTAATCATCTATACAATTTATCAATAATCATTTAAATATGAAAGGTCTAAATACTCTATTTAAAAAATAGAGAATAAGAGAGTGGATTTTAAAAATCCACGAAAATAAAAACAAAAAGATTCAACTGTATGTTGTCTCCAAGAAACTCACAGTAAATATAAAATCACAGGTAGATTGAAAGTAAAGGGATAGGGAGAGGCATCCCTTTCTTTAATAAAAAGAAAGCTGGAGGAGCCATATTGATTGCAGCCAAAGCAGACTTCAGAGATAGAAAGTATTATCAGTAATAAAAGGCAAAGTGTCCAAGAAGACATACAGATTCTTAATGTGTATGTTCAAAAACTAGTGTCAAAATATGTGAAGCCAAAACTAGTAGAACTGCAAGTAGATAGGCATATTTACCATTAAAGTTGAAGACTTCTAATGTCCTTCAATTAGTAATTGACAGATTCAGAAGCCAGAAAATCAGTAAAAATACAGTTATAATGAAGAACACAATAAGTCAACTAGGTCTGGCATCAGAATATTTCATCCTGCACCAAGAAAATATATTATTCTCAAGCTATCAAGGTACATTAATCAAGACAGACCACATTCTGGGTCATTAAAAATAAACAGCAAATTTAAACTAACAGAAAGCATACAAAGTATGCTCTCACATCATAATGAAATTAATTACAAAACAATAATGAAAAGAGATCTAAAATATCCCAAAATATTTTGATTAGATTAAGCAGAGGCACTTCTAAATAACACCTAAGACAAAAAGAAGTGTCAAAAAAGTAAAAAAAATTTTTGAATTAAATAAAGATGAAAATAGAAATAATCAAAATGTGTGGGTTATAGCAACAGCAATGTTTACAGGGAAATTTGTAGCATTGAATGCATATATTAGGAAAATGTCTAAAAGAAATAATTTCAGTTTACACCTCAGGAAGTGGGATAAAGAAGATAAAATTAAATCCAAAGTAAAGAGAAGAAAAGAAATAATGATTAGAACAAAAATTAATAAGAATTACACAATAAAATCAATAAAAAATTAATAAAACCAAAAGTGAGTTCTTTAAAAGATTAATAAAATGGATAAACTTCTAGCCATGACAATTAAAAGGAAAAAAAGAGAGAACATTCAAGTTACTGATGTCAAAAATAAAATGTGGTCATCAATACAGATGCCATGGACATTGAAAAGATAATAAAGAAATACAGGAAACTATGTTCTCAAATTCAATAAATTAGTTAAATTACCCAACCTATTGAAAGACAAAATCCACCAAAACTCATTCAAAGAGAAATAAATTATCTAATTTTGTCTATATCTATAAAAGATAGATATAGAGAAAAGGTAAACTACAGACCAAAATCTCTTACAAATGTAGATCCAAAAATTCTCACCAAGATTCTAGTAAATCAGATCCAGTGATGTATAAAAATAAGTCTATACCATGATTAAGTGGGATTCATTAAAGATATGCAAGGAAGTTTCAACATTTATAAATCAATTAATGGAATCCATCATATCATCAGACTGAAAAAGATAAATCACATTATCAGATAAACAGATGCAGGAAAAGCATTTGGCAAAATTTAGCATCCATTTTTCAACAAAACTCTCACCAAACTAGAAATATAGGAGGACTTCCTAAACCTGATTAAAAAGCATATACTATCAACCTTCAGCTAACAACATATTTAATGATTTAAAAAAACTAGGTTATTTCTCTCTAAAATGGATAAGGCAAGAATGTCTGCTCTCATTACTCTTATTCAATATCCCACTAGGAGTCCTAGCTAAAATAATAAAACAATAAAAAGAAATAAAATATATAGATTGGAAAGGAAGAAATAAAACTCTCTTTGTTCATAGATGACATAATTACCTATGCCGCAAAGCCCAAAAAATAAACACAAAAATATTCTTGAACAAAGTGAATACAACATGTTGCAAGGTGCAGGGTTTATATACAAAATTCAATTGCCTTACTTTATGCTACAAATGAACAGTCGGAAATTAAAAACAATATTTGCATTAAAATAAAAATAAAATATTTATATGTAAGTATAAGAAAATGTGTACCAGATCTATGTGAGAAGATCTATAAAACAAACACTCATGAAAAGAATAAAAGAATATCCAAATAAGTAGAGAGATATTTCATGTTCATGGAGAGTATTCCATGTTCATATTGAGGAGGACTCAATATTCTGACAATGCTAGTTCTTCCCGGATTAATCTATAGATTGATCACAATTTCAGTCAAAATCCCAGCATAACTTGGTTATGGTTATTGCCAAGCTGATTATAAAGTTTATAAGGAAAGCCAGAAGACTCAGAATAGCAGACACAATATTGAAAAACAACAAAGCTGGGACTGATATATGACTTCAAGACTTACTATAAAAGTACAATAATAAAGACAATATGGTTGGTATTGGTGAAAGAATAGACAAATTAATGGAACAGAATGGAGAGCCAGAAATAGACCCACACAAATATAGTAAACTGATCTTTTAGAGCGGGGCAGAGATAATTAAGAGAAAGGATATTCATTTCAACTATCCAGTTGCTGGAGCAACTGCACATGCACATGAATAAAGTGATTCCAGACACAAGTGGAAGCCAAAATCTATAAAATGTTTTTAAGAGCTATGGATCCATTAACTATATTAATTGCTTCTCCACACTGAAGTCACTAAATGATAAAAATACTATATTAAACAGTTTTGTGTAAGCCATTTTGATTTTTTTTAAAGTGGAAGAAGTTGAAGACTTGGAACTACAGAATCTACATTCATATTAAAACATTTTCAAAACTATCATGATTAGCTTTTTGGATTAGCTTTTTTTATGACTGAATAAATTTTTCATAGTAAAAAATATATTATCTTTTTTCTTACCTTTTTTGTGAAATAAGCTCGTATGGAATGCAGAGTGCTGTTTAAGGTCCCATATAAAATTTGAGTCCATTTTGTTAAATCAAGGTCCATTTACTCAAGATTACTGTCTTTAGACTGGGGAATATTACCATCCTGTCCTACTTTATCTTATAAAGGCAAGACACCTAGTAAAGTGAGTATAGTCCCTTTTACCAATAGATATTATGTAATGAAGTAAGAAAAAATAAATGACACTGGCAAAAACAACTCAATTACAATGCATTTTTCAATTGAAAAGCTGTAGAACATTTATTACTTAATAGCATAGTACTGTACAGGCTTCTCTGAAAATAAATGATTGGCATATTACATGTATTAATGTTACCCAGCTATAAAGTTTAAAACCTTTTAAATAAAACTATGTATTTGTGGTGACGTTGCATCTCATCTATAAATTCAACATTTAATTATGTGCCAGGAAATTTGTTGGGCCTGGTATAAGAAGATAAATAAAAATTTATTTGTCTTAGGTACTTGGCAATAATAGAGTGGAAACAAAAGAATCAAACACTACAATAATTTCAATAATATGCAAAATGTTACTAGTTTCCAATTTTATCTGAATGATAATTGGACTATCACCCTATGAGCATATTATGAATAAAAAAAGAATGTTATTCCACAGAATTTGGAAACATTGCAAATATCTGGAAGCATGAAAGAGGTTGTGTTCAGTGTGGTTGGATACTAAGTTTAAGAGAACTGAAAGCAGTAGATTAATATGAAGGGATAAATTGAGTCCTCATTAGATGAGTATTTATATATGGCTACTTACCACTGAACCATTCCTATATGACTCAGGATCCCAGTAAATGAACCATAAAATAAGAATATTGGGGCTGTGCATATATAGTCTCTGAAAATTCAATAATAAAATGTTTGAAGAAGATTCGAATGTGTTATCCAAGCAGGTAAACACACATAGCAGTATCTTTTTTGTATCAAAATAATAATACATTTCAAAAGAATCATACTTAGATACTCTGAGCAGGGAGGTGGGAGGAGATAGAAGAGCAAAAAAGATAACTATTGGATACTGAGCTTAATACCTGGGTGATGAAATAATATGTACCACAAACCCCTGTGCCACGTGTTTATCTATGTAACAAACCTTCACATGTACTCTAAACCTAAAATAAAAGTTAAAAATTAATTTTAAAAAACGTTACTTTTTTTCAAATAATTTGAACTGTTCTCTAGTTTGTTTTTAGTAATATCTCCCAACTTTGTTAAGACATACTACTCGCCACCCTTGAATCTAATTGTCTGCTGCCTTCTTACAAAAATGAAATCCATACTCCAACAATTAAAATATTGACTGTACTGAAGACATTTAAAACAGGATGCTGCTGTTTTTATACCTAGTTTTCAAAACAAATGAATTAGCAAACACTAGTCATTATCATTTTAGAAAGTATAAGATCTTTATCATTTCTGTATCAAAAGGCAGAGAACAAGTTACAACTTTTAACGACTGATTTGTGCGTTTAATATTGAAAATAAAACTATTTTTTTTTTGCCACACTCAAAGCTAAACCATCTTCCAAAGTAACTGTACCATTTTGCATTTTTACCAGCAATAGATACACGGGAGCTCCTCTTGCCCCACATTCTCACCCACATTTTGTGTTGTCCTGTTCTGGATTTTGGTCATTTTAATATGTGTGTAGCTATATCTCTTTGATCTTTTCATTTGCATTTCTCTGATGACTAAGATGTGGATCATTTTTTCATGTGCTTATTTGCCATTTGTATATCTTCTTTGTTGAGATGTCTGTTAAGGACCCATTTTTAAATGGTTGTTTGTCTTTTTATTGTTGAGTTTTATATGTTATTTGTATATTTTGGGCGAGAGCCCTTTACCAGATGTGTGTTTTGCATTTCTCCCAGTCCATGATTTATCTTCTCATTCTCTTAATATTTTCCTTTGCAGAGCAGAAGGTTTTTTTTAATTTTAATTAAGTCCAGCTTATCTGTTATTTTTATCATGGATAAATAGTGCCTTTTGTATTATATCTAAAAAGTAATTGCCATATTCAAGGTCCTCTAGATTTTCTTCTGTGTTATCTTCTGTAAGTTTTATAGTTTTTCATTTTACATTTATGTCTGTGGTTTATTTTCAGTTAATTTTTGTGAAGGGAATAAAGTCTGTGACTAGATTCATTCCGTTGCATGAGAATGCTCAGTTGTTCCAGTATTATTTGTTGAAGAGACTATCATTGCTCCCTTGTATTGCCTTTGCTTCTTTGTCAAAGATCAGTTGACTACATTTATCTGGGTCTATTTCTGTGCTCTCAATTCCGTTAAATTTATTTAGTTGTCTATTGTTTCACCAGTATCACACGGTTTTGATTATTAAAGCTTTAGTAAAGTTGCATAATGTTAATCCTTCAACTTTGTTCTTCTTCTTAAATATTGTGATGTCTATTTTGGATCTTTTGTGTCTCCATATTAACTTCACATTCAGTTTGTCAGTTGAATGCCCACAACATCTACAAAATAATTTTCTGGGATTTTGATAAGAATTGCACTGAATCTATAGATTAAGTTGGGCAAAACTGACATATCAACAATGTTGAGTCATCCTATCCATGAAAATAAAATATCATTTTATTTATGTTTTTCTTTTACTTCATTCATCAGAGTTTAGTTTTTTCCTCATATAGACTGCATACATATTCTGTTAGCTATACATTTATCATTTTTGAGGATGTTAATGTAAATAATTTTTTAAATTTTAAATTCCATTTCTTCATTTGTCGCTAGATAAGGAAACAATTAGATTTTGTATATTAATCTTATATCCTGAAACCTTGGTATAATCACTTATTAGTTCCAGGTTTTTTTGTAGAATCTTTTGGATTTTCTTCATAGATGATCATATCATCTAATAATAAAGGCCATTTTATTTCTTCCCTTCCTATCTGTATATATATTTTTTCTTTTATTGTCCTGTTGCATTATAAAGATTTCTAATATGATGTTGAAAAGGAGTGGTGAGAGGGGACATACTTGCCTGTTTCCTAATTGTAGTGAGAAAGTTTTGAGGTTGTCACAATTAAGTATATGTTAGCTGTAGTGTTTTTAATAGTTTATTAAACTTAATTATGATGAGGAAGTTTCCCTCTATTCCTAGTTACTGTTAATTTTTTATCATAAAGAGGTATTGGATTTTGTCAAATTGTTTTTTGCATCTATTGATATAATCATGTCATTTTTCTTTTTCAGCTCAGTGACATGCTAGATTTCATTAAGTAATTTGTAAATATTATTACTGTTTAGCATACCTGTAATGAATCCCATTTAATCATGGTGTGTGATTATTTTTATTCATTGTCAAATTCAATTTACTAGAATGTTCATGAGAATATTTGCATCTCTATTCATAAGATATATTGGTCTGCAGTTGTCTTTTCTTGTAACGTCTTTGTCTGTTTTTAGTATTGGGGTAATGCTAGCATCAGAGAATTGGTTAGAAATTATTATCTCCGCTTCTGTCTTCTGAAAGTGATTATTAAGAATTAATATAATTTTTTTCTTAAATGTTTGGTAGAATTCACTAGTAAACTCATCTGGTCCTGATGATTTCTGTTCTCTAAAGTTTTTTTAAATTGATTCAACTTCTTTAGTAGGTATAAAAGTATTAGAGTTTCTATTTCCTTTTGTTCAGTTGGCAGACGGTGTCTTTGAAGGAATTGGTTCATTTCATCGAGGTTTTCAAATTTGTGTATATAGAGTTGTTCATAATATTCTCTTATTATCTTTTTGATGTCTGTGGGATTTGCAGTGATGATCACTTTCTGAAATTTTTTTGTATTTTTTTGTATTTTTTTAAGTTGGCATGGCTAAAGGTTTATCAATTTTATTGATCTTTTCAAATAATCAACTTCTGGTTTCATTAATTTATTGATTTTCTATTTTCAATTTTATTGATTTCTGTTCTAGTTCTTATTATTTCTTTTAGTCTCCTAATCTTGGATTTAATTTCCACTTCCTTTTCCATTTCTTGAGGTGGAAAGTTAAATTGTTGATTTTAGATCTTTCTTCTTTTCTAAGACATGCGTTCAATGCTATAAATTTTCCTCTAAGCACGGCTTTCACTGAATCCCACAAATTTTGATAAGTTATGTTTTCATTTAGATATAAATACTTTTAATTTTTAAAGATTTCTTATTTGACTTATGTGTTATTTAGAAGTATATTTTTTAATCTTCACGTACTTTGGGATTTTCTAATTCTCTTTCTTATATTGATATCTAGTTTAATTCCATTGTGGTCTGAGAACAGAGATTGTATGATTTATATTTTTTAAATTTGTTAGGTGTGTTTTATGATCCTGATTGTGTTCAATCTTGGTGAATTTTCCCTGTGAGCTTGAGAATAATGTGTATTGTGATGTTGTTAGATGAAGTAGTCTGTAGATGTCAATTATATATAGCTGATGGATGATGTTGTTGAGTTCAACTACACTCTTACTGATTTTCTGCCTGCTAGATCTGTCTATCTGTGATATATAAGTGTGGAATTCTCCAACTAAGATAAATAGATTCTTCTATTCCTTCTAACAGTTTTATCATTTTTAATATATTTTAATTCTCTGTTAGATGCATGCATGTTTTAAATATTGCTGTCTTCTTGGAGAATTAACCACTTAATTATGTAAAGACTTCTCTGTCCTTGATAAATTTCTTTGTTTTGAAGTTGGCTCTTTTCAAAATTAACACAGCTTCACCTGCTTTCTTTTGACCATTGTTAGCACGGTATATTTTCTCCATCCATTTACTCTTACTCTATATATCTTTGTATTTAAAGTGGGTGTCTTGTAAACAGCATAAAATTGGGTCTTGTTTATTCATCCATTTACTCTTTTAATTGTTGCATTGAGGACACTGACATTCAAAGGGATTATTGATATAATTGAATTTATATCTACCACATTTGTTACCGTTTTCTATTTGTATCCCTTGCTTTTGGTTTCTACTTTTGTCTTCCACTTTTTTCTGCCTTTTGTAGTTTTCATTGAATATTTCATATAATTTTATTTTTTTCTCTTTTCTTAGCATATCAGTAATATGTCTTTTATTACTTTTCCATTGGTTGCCTTAGAGTTTATAATACACATTTACAATCAATCAAAGTCCTCTTTTAAATGACACTATACCACTTCACAAGTAGTGTAAGAGCTTTATACTAACATAATAATCCTAATTCCTCTGTCTCATTTCTTATAGCATTGCTGTCATTCATTTCACTTAAATGTAAGCATCCCTAAGCTATAGGAAAATAGATAAAAGATATATACATAAACATATGTAATAGAATACATTGTGCTATTATTTTAAATAAGCTGTTATTGGTTAGATCAATTGGTAATAAGAACAATAAGTTTCTATTTTATCTTCATAAGTGAAGATAACAATAGTCATTTTGATGATTTTCTTTTCTTTGCATGGAAAGTTTTTGACATAATATTTTTCCTTCATTCTAAATAACTTATTTTAACATTCCTTGCAAGCTATGTCTGCTGGCAACAAATTTCCTCAATTTTGTTTGTTTGAGAAAGTCTTTATTTCGTATTCAGATTTGAAGGATTATTTTGTAGGGTACAGGATTCTAGGTTGCTTATTTTGTCTTTTTAACACTTTAAATATTTCAGTCCACTTTCTTCTTGATTAAATGGTTTCTGAGGAGAAGTTTAATATAATTATTGTACTTGATTCACTAAAGGTAATGTGTTTTCCCTCTGGCTTCTCTGAGGATTTATTTTCTTTATCAACTTTTCCATAGTTTGAAAATCATATGCTTTTTTAATTTTGTTTTGCTGTTGTTCTTACATTTTGCATTTATCCTGTTTGGTATTCTCTGAGCTTCTTAGATATTTGGTTTGGTGTCTGAATTCATTTGAAGAAATTCTCAGTCATTATTACTTCAAATATTTATTCTGTTTCTTTCTTTCTTCACCTTCTGCTGTTACCATTATGCATATGTTACTTATTTTATAGTTGTCTCTGCAGTCTGTGGATACTCTATTTTTTTTCAGTCTTTTTTCTCCTAATTTAAGTTTTGCAGCTTTCTATTGCAACAGCCTTGAGTTCAGAGATTATTTCCTCATCTATGCCCAGTCTAGTAATAAGTCCATGAAATACATTGTTCATTTCTGTTACAGTGGTTTTGATGTCTAGCATTACTTTTAAATTCTTTTTTGGGATTTTCATCTCTCTACTTACATGCCCTTCTGTTTTTGCATGCTATCTACTACTTTCTCCATTAGAGCCCTTAGCATATTAGTCAAAATTGTTACAAATTCCTGGCCTGAAACTTCCAACATTCTTGCTCTATCTGGTTTTGGTGCTTGCCCCGTCTATTTAAGGGTTTTTTTTTTTTTTTTTTTTTTTTTTAAAGATAGAGACTGGCTCTGTCGCCCAGGCTGGTGTGCAGTGGCATGATCTTGGCTCACTGCAAGCTCAGCCTCCCGGGTTCATGCCATTCTCCTGCCTCAGCCTCCCGAGTAGCTGGGACTACAGGCGCCCACCATCACGCCCAGCAAATTTTTTGTATTTTTAGTAGAGACTGGGTTTCATCGTGTTAGCCTACATGGTCTTGGTCTCCTGACCCCGTGATCCGCCCGCCTCTGCCTCCCAAAGTGCTGGGATTACAGGCGTGAGCCACCACGCCCGGCCAAGTTGTGTTTTATCTTTAATATGTATTATAATGTTTTTCTTGATAACTGGACATGATGTGGTGAATAAAATGAACTTCTAAGTAGGCCTTTAGCAATGTAATGGTAAGGAACATGATTAGGGCTCAGAGTTTTAGTGAGCCTATGCCTCTGGACTGTGTACTTCTTAAGTGTTTCTCAGTTCCCCAACTCCCATTTAGGTGGGACAGGATGGCTGGAGTGGTTTGGTGTTGAGTCAGGTAGGGTCTGACAAAGCCCCAGCAGGTTAGACTCTGGTTAACCAGTTTACCCTGATGTGGGTAAACATCAGGTGAACATGCCTTCTTAGAAGAACAGAAGGGCATATTTCAAAACAGTTTCTTTTTCCTTCCCTCTGCCATAAATAGGAGTGGATTTTTCTCTGATATTTACTGTGAGAAATATGTATCTCCAGGTTGAGCCCCTGACAGTAAAACTCACAAAAGTTCTGCACCACCACACCATTACTGAGTCGCCCTACTGTTTTCAACTCTCAGACTTGTCTTCTCTGAACCTCTGGCAATTTTTTACCTTTTCCTACTCTGGCACTAGTTCCCTTGCTATTTTCTGCTCATGAGTCTCCACTTTAATAAAACTATGCCTCCTGTAACTGCCTATTAGTCTCTCCAATCTTAGGAGCAGATTTTTCTGTCTTTTCAGCTTTGTTGTTCAGCTTTGTCATGAGGATGGAGTGGTGACTTCCATGCTCCTTATATGTGGGCCTAGAAACTACAAGCCCAGTGTATTTTCGTTTTGTTTTTTAATTTATTATTTTTAGTCAGGCAAATAGTTCTTTAAATTTCATCTGCAGGATTTGTTATTTTACTTGTTGCTCAAGCGACTTATCAAATTCGAGGCTAGAGCAGTGTTTTTATGATATGGTTTTTGCAAAATAGAAACTCCTAAAATGGCCATGGTAATAACTACACAAAAGTAACATCATTACTATATGACATGCATCAAGAACCATATAAATATGTTCTCAGATAAGACATTATCTGGCAAACTTCGATGTTAAAATTTAAATTCTAGAAGTTAATATTAAGATGGGTTATGAAAGGAGATAATATAGATATAAAAATAAAGTAAATGTATTAAAAATGTTAAATAAATTCTTCACTGTGCCTAGTGGCTCACACCTGCAATCCTAGCAATTTAGGAGGCCGAGGCAGGAGGATCGCTTGAGTTTGGGAGTTCAAGAATAGCCTGGGCAACACAAGGAGACAGTGCCTCTACAAACAAAATCCAAAAAATTAGCCCAACATGGTGGTGCACACCTGTAGTCCCGGCCACTCAGGAGGCTGAAGCAGGAGGATTACTTGAGCTCGGGAGATCAACGCTGCAGTGAACCGTGATCATGTTACTGCACTCCAGCCTGGGTGACCAAGTGAGACCCTGTCTCCAAAAACAAAAATAACAACAATAAAAATAAATTCTTTACAGAATAAGGAGCTAATACTTATATTTTAGCTGAGTGATATAGAGAATAATACAAAACACAATATGTAGAAAATGAATGAAAGTGAAAAGGGAATGAAAGAACATTAGGAAATGTTTTAATGTTTACTAGAAAGAAAAGCAAACATAACTACAGATAAATTGTATGGGAAGATATTAAAAACGAATCCTCAGGACACTGCCTTTTTGGGCTTTCCTTCCCATTGCAGCAGATGCAGTTCCTGCCAGAGACCTTTGATGTCACAATTAATAGAAGACTGAAATCAATTGGAAGCTTAATAGTCTTTTCTTAACCTATCAATTTCTCTTCTGTTAAATAAGAACATCAAAACACAGGATTTCATTGCATGTCCTATGTGAAGAGTATAGAAATTAAAGCAAATTTTCTCTTTCTATTTTACAGCATGCAGAAAAAAATATGTGAGCTCTTCATATAATTAAATTACTAGAAGTCAGTGTTCACTATTTGGTAAATTAGAGATGATGTATTTTGCAGATAAGCTGTAGATGTTGAATCACTAGAGTTTTTTCATATCGTACCAAAATTATAGTTCTTTGTTCCTGGTAAAATATTTTTTAAAATATTTTTTCTTGCTATTTTTCTGATAAGCTATGAGAATAGACTTGAAGGCTTTTATTCATTTCAATTTAAAACAACCTATCAGAACATATATATTAATTCATCAAAGAAAATACTATTGGAGAATTGCTGAACTATTCTAATTATATAAAAATTATTAAACTACTACTCTTTATTTTCTAAAATTTCAGTTTATAAAGTACTTCAAATATTATAGTTAAATAAAATAAATTATTTAAACGTTAAACTAACGATGATCTCTTTTGACTATAATGTATAAAATGTCAAACACTGTGCTTAAAAATAAAATGAATTTTTTAATAACATGAAAAAATTAAACACTTCTGTTTTTACTGTTGTGATGATAAACAGAGGGAAGATACATTATTCTTTTGATTTGATTTACAGCCTCAGATATACGTAGAAATGGAGTCCATATGTGTCACCTAGAACCACAGGGCAAGTAATAGGAATGCTATTTTAAAAATGAACAGATTGCTCCAACAGGCATTTATGCAGAAAGCCTTCTCTAACAGCTCTCAGATACATACTCACACTTTACAGTTCAGTGAACTTAATTTGAACAATATATATACTATGACCTGAAGCTGAAAATACTGCAAGCCAAACAAATAATCTTAATAACACTTGCTTAAATTCAGTTTGATGAATGCTTATATGTCAAATAGGTTTGCATAAAATAAAACAAAGTTGTCAGCACATCAATTAAAATATTTATTAGTGATAAAGTGAATCTAAGATATATCCAAGATGCTTGATAGATAGTATTTGCTATAGAGGTTTTCCCCAGCATAAAAACAAACAAAAAAAAATTAGAGTTGAATCTCAGCATGGAATTTATTGGATTTAGAGGTTTTCATTACATGAAATTTCTCAATGACTGAAGTTAAATATCTTTCAAAATTACTCAAATCCTAGCATTACACTTGGTATTTTGGTGGACCAAGGAGCCCTTAGTTAAGAATTTGTTGTTTCTTGGAAAGGTCAGAAGAAGCAGGAAGTGAGATATAACAAGGAGAACATAATGGTAAAATGTAGCTACACTTTCTTCTCTAGTATAGCTACAATACATTCTACCTAAAAATTATCTATATATGTATATCATATGTATCTCTCTATATATAGATACATATGTATGCATACTCATATATTTAAGAAGTCAAATTTATCAGCAAAACTAGGTGGATTTATTTTCTACAACATTATAGGAAAGAAAACTGAAGACAATTTAATTTTACCAACTCCTTTTACATCATGCAACCTAAAATGATGTTCCTCTAATCAGTCATGGTCATTTCTAATACTCAAACTTCAAATCAATAGTGTCTATAATTCTGTAGTTCTGTGTTATAATATACAGATAAAATTTAATAAAACACCTTGGTTCATATTTCTTGAATAATGTCTGGTAAGGGATTTTTTCTTAAAATGGGAGATATCAGAAGATTCTGAAAAGATTTATATAAAAAGTCATAAAAGTTTTCCATTAGGACAGTATTTTGTGGGAGAAAAAAGTAAAAAAAGATTGTTCATATGTTCATCTATTTACTTTGAAATTTCATACTGCTGTTAGCTTACTTGTTATAATAAGGGAAAAGCCTAAAATAAAAAAAATTAAACTATTTCACAGTAACAGAAAACATGATTTAGGTTATATAATTTTACAAGCGTACAGATTTCTCAAAGGAAAATATACTCTTTAGTCTTTATTTTATAGTACGCTATGAATGTAAAAATATTCTATCATCTTTGTCTCTGAATGGACTTATTATTTGAAGTATTTTCTTAATTTCAGCAATGTATTTGACTTAAGTTTATAAAAGGAGCAATGGCTGTCAAGTTTGTAGGATATACTATATAGATATATAGTATAGATATATTTACAGAAAAAAATGCTTACATTTTACAAACAATTAAGAATTTTATATATCATGCTTCAAATATTTTTATCCAAAGATACCTTAGTAACTCTTATTTAATTATAAACAACACTTAAATGGGGACAAAAAGAAAATATATCAACTACATAAGTGTAGGGGTTATCTTCTTTAGGGCATTTTTTTAGCTTATATTTTAAAAACAGAATTTGTCTTATTTCATAATATTACTTAATGAAAAAAATTGTGTGCCTGACAATATAATATTTAAATTAGCTCCATATTTTAAATTCTATCTGTCACATTTTTCCTATTATCTACATCTGTAAAGTGCCATATGGCTTGTTTAATATGCTTTTATCTATTGAAGCTTTAAAAATTTATTACTGATTATCAATTAAAATGATTATAAAATAAAACTCTTTACATTATAAAGCTTGACTATTTCAATTTCTCCACCATGATCACCATCATCTTCCACCTAGACTACTGTATCATCCTCCAGACTAATCTGCTTATATCTATTCTTGTCTCATTGTGGTCAATTTTGAATATAGCCAGAATGATCTTTTAAAAGAATTTTCTCATATCACTTTCTCCATCCCATTTAGAATACAATAAATTGTCATGTTCCTGCTGAGTGAAGTTCCATCACTCATTCAGTCCTTTCTAGATCTCTGGTATCTTCTCCCACTATGCTGTTCTCGGCTCTCTAGTTCACTGACCCTGACATCTCTGGCCTTCTTATTGTTTATGACTGAATTACACCGAACTTGTTTCTGCTTCAGTACTTTGGCACTTGCTGTACCCTATCCTATAAGTATCTTTAGCACATTTCTTTGTATGGCCTGAGATTTGCTCAAATTTGTCTCTCAGAGAGTTACTTTCTGACATTTTTTTGCTAAAATGCCACTCAGTACTTTTTATTATCCTATCATGATTTTTTCCCACCATTAACAGTTATCATTACCTGAAACACACACACACACACACACACACACGGTTTATTATTTGTATTTCTCATTAACTATAATGTAAGCTCCATTGCCTAGAATAATGTAGACATGGAGTAGACACTAATTAAACAGAAGTGAGCTAATGAATTATATCAAATAGACAAGAGGGAAAAGAGTTTGTAGTAGGGAATAGAAGCGATGTCATAAGTCTCAGATCAATTAAAATACAGAATACAGTAGTCATTCCCCTTAGAACTTCAGAGGACAATGATGACAAAAACAATAATATTGTCAGTAGATTCTTTTTCATGGAAGGTAAAATGCAATAAGACAAGCAATGAATGGAAAATAAGAAAATGAGGAGGATATGTGTGCCAATTATTGCTATTATTTGCTTAGTTAATTGGTTGTTTAAATTTGATAAATATTTTTTGAAGATGTCTTTATGTTGAGGAAATTGTTGATAGAAAGAGAAGGGTTGACTACAAGGGAGATGGAAAGGATGTTGCTGAGCTAAATATTTGAGGAAATGAGAAAGGAAACATGCATGCATGAAAACAATGGCTGTGAGAAGGAAGCAGATTTCATCCTCAGAGGCTACTTAAAAGCATAAAGGACGTGAAAAATGCAAAAGGATGAAATACTTCCCATAAAACTTCATGTTAACGTGTTGAATACTGGAGAGAAAATCTATGGATTCTGGGAACTTTTAAAGTATTCTCTGTTGAAAAATATAGAAGGTGCTAATTAAGGATGAAGGATTGGTAAAAGTTATTTGGGCCTCAAACATTACATATGAAGTTCATTATGATATGTCACTTACGATCCTGGTTCTGTAATTTTATTCTGTATAGAGATTAGCTCTCAATGCACAGAAAAGAGAAGGAGGATTGGGAGATTGAGTCCTAGTTGATTCATATTTCCAAGGTAGAGGTTTGTAAAAAATTAACAGGGAGAAGGAGTTAAGCGTCCTGGTAAGAACTAAGTAGGAGTAAAAATGAGGCTAGGATGGAGTCTAATATACTGCCTAAGTTTGCATGTGGCAGAATTACGTATTTTGTGAAGAATAGAATATGAGAAGGTAAACCCTTAGGGATTAAATCTGCAATTATTAGTAATGCATTTTAATAACATTTTTAAATAGTTTTACATTTGCAGAGAAATTACAAGATAGAACAGAGAATCCCAATATAGTCGTGTGTTGCTTAATGCAGGGGACACATTCTGAGAAATGCATCCTTAGGTGATTTCATCATTGTCCAAACATCATAGAGTGCACTTATACAGACCTATATGGTATAACCTACTACACAGCTAGGCTATATGATCTAGCCTATTGCTTCTAGGCTATAAACTTGTGCGGCATGTTACTGTACTAAATTTTGTAGGCAATTATAATATAGTGGTATCTAAACATATAAAAGGTCCAGTAAAAATGTCATATTTTAACCTTACAGGATATTATGGGCACTGCCCTATAGGCAGTTTATCATTGGCTGAATCATTGTTTAAGGACACAGGACTGTATATCTCACACCCAGGTTTACCTATTATTATATCTTATATTACTATCATTCGTCATATAAAGTGCATGTAATAGTAACATGGTTTATCTCTGTTTATGTTAAACTCGATCACTAGTTAAGGTAGTGTTGTTCAGGTGTCTTCATTGCGACATTACTCTTTTCCCCCTCTTTTTATACTTTAAAGAAGAAAGTGGCTATGTGCACCCCACATTTGAGTGGGTATTATGATCAACCTCCTTGAATTAGGAGAATAAATTATTTGGAATGATTTAGCATGGGAGATATGTCTATTTCTCCTCATTTTAAATGTAGTCAACCATCTGTTTATATCATTAAAGACTCATTGATATTTATATTATACACTGGGTTATAATGCAATACACATTTATTTATTTTCATTAAAATTGTTATGGCTTTGGCCATTGGGAGTTTTTCAGTTGTATTCCATATCCTTTTGACTTGTGCCTATCATTGAAGTGTTCTTTGTTTGTTTAGCAGTTTCATACTTTCTGGAACTACAAGATATGCTGTATTCGTTCATTCTTGTGTTGCTATAAAGGAATGCTTGAGACTAGGTAATTTATAAAGAAAAGATACTTTATTTTGACTCAGGCTGTAAGGAAGCAGAATCTACTTCTGCTGAGGGCCTCCAGAAACTTACAGTCATGGTGAAAGGGGAAGGGGAGCCAGCCTGTGTCATGGCAAGAGGGAGAGCAAGAGAGAGAAGGGAGAAACACTACATTCTACTGAACATCGAGATCTCATGTGAACTAACAGAGTGATATAACTCATTCGTCACCAAGAGGATCGTGCTAAGCCATTCATGAGGGATCCACCCCCATGATCCAATGCCTCCCACTAGGCCCCACTCCAACATTAGGAATTACATTTCAACATGAGATTTGGAGGAGACAAACATCCAAGCCATATCATGTACCAAGCCACCTTGTCTATTTCCCCACTCCTAGAATCAGAAATTTCTCT